>NC_000005.10:47306086-47309084 GCF_000001405.40 Homo sapiens | reverse complement strand
TCCCGTTTCCAACGAAGGCCTCAAAGAGGTCTGAATATCCACTTGCAGAGTTTACAAACAGAGTGTTTCCTAACTGCTCTATGAAAAGAAAGGTTAAACTCTGTGAGTTGAATGCACACATCACAAAGAAGTTTCTGAGAATCATTCTGTCTAGTTTTTATACGAAGATATTTCCTTTTCTACCATTGACCTCAAAGCGGTTGAAATCTCCACTTGTAAATTCCACAAAAAGAGTGTTTCAAATCTGCTCTGTGTAAACCATCGTTCAACTCTGTGAGTTGAATACACACAACACAAGGAAGATTCTGAGAATTCTTCTGTCTAGCAGAATATGAAGAAATCCCGTTTCCAACGAAGGCCACAATATTTCAGAATATACTCTTACAGAATTTACAAACAGACTGTTTCCTAACTGCTCTATGAAAAGAAAGGTTAAACTCTGTGAGTTGAACGAACACCTCACAACGCAGTTTGTGGGAATGATTCTGTCTAGTTTTGAAACGAAGATATTTCCTTTTCTGCCATTGACCTTAAAGCGCTTGAAATCTCCACTTGCCAATTGCACAAAAAGAGTGTTTCAAATCTGCTCTGTCTAAGGGAACGTTCAACTCTGTGAGTTGAATGTACACAACACAAGGAAGTTACTGGGAATTCTTCTGTCTAGCCTTACAGGAAAAAAACCCGTTTCCAACGAAGGCCTCAAAGAGGTCAAAATATCCACTTGCAGAGTTTACAAACAGAGTGTTTCCTAACTACTCTATGAAAAGAAAGGTTAAACTCTGTGAGTTGAACGCACTCATCACAAAGAAGTTTCTGAGAATCATTCTGTCTAGTTTTCATACGAAGATATTTCCTTTTCTACCATTGACCTCAAAGCGGCTGAAATCTCCACTTGCAAATTCCACAAAAAGAGTGTTTCAAATCTGCTCTGTGTAAAGGATCGTTCAACTCTGTGAGTTGAATACACACAACACAAGGAAGTTATTGAGAATTCTTCTGTCTAGCCTTACATGAAAAAAACCCGTTTCCAACGAAGGCCTCTAAGTGGTCAAATTATCCACGTGCAGACTTTACAAACAGAGTGTTTCCAAACTGCTGAATGAAAAGAAAAGTTAAACTCTGAGAGCTGAATGCACACATCACAGAGCAGTTTCTGAGAATGATTCTGTCTAGTTTTTATACGAAGATATTTCCTTTTCTGCCTTTGGCCTCAAAGCGCTTGAAATCTCCATTTGCAAATCCCACAACAAGAGTGTTTCAAATCTGCTCTGTGTAAATGAAAGTTCAACTCCGTGAGTTGAATACACACAACACAAGGAAGTTACTGAGAATTCTTCTGTCTAGCATAGTATGAAGAAATCCCGTTTCCAACGAAGGCCTCAAAGAGGTCTGAATATCCACTTGCAGACTTTACAAACAGAGTGTTTCCTAACTGCTCTATGAAAAGAAAGGTTAAACTCTGTGAGTTGAAAGCACACATCATAAAGGAGTTTCTGAGAATCATTCTGTCTAGTTTTTATTCGAAGATATTTCCTTTTCTACCATTGACCTCAAAGCGGCTAAAATCTCCACTTGCAAATTCCACAAAAAGAGTGTTTCAAGTCTGCTCAAAGAATCGTTCAACTCTGTGAGTTGAATACACACAACACGAGGAAGTTACTGAGAATTCTTCTGTCAGCCATAATATGAAGGAATCCCGTTTGCAACGAAGGCCTCAAAGAGGTCTGAATATCCACTTGCAGAGTTTACAAACAGAGTGTTTCCTAAGTGCTCTATGAAAAGAAAGGTTAAACCCTGTGAGTTGAACGCACACATCCTAAAGGAGTTTCTGAGAATCATTCTGTCTAGTTTTTATTCGAAGATATTTCCTTTTCTACCATTGACCTCAAAGCGGCTGAAATCTCCACTTGCAAATTCCCTAAAAAGAGTGTTTCAAGTCTGCTCAAAGGATCGTTCAACTCTGTGAGTTGAATACACACAACACAAGGAAGTTGCTGAGAATTCTTCTGTCAGACATAATATGAAGAAATCCGGTTTCCAACGAAGGCCCAAAGAGGTCGGATTATCCACTTGCAGACTTTACAAACTGAGTGTTTCCTAACTGCTCTATGAAAAGAAAGGTTAAACTCTGTGAGTTGAATGCACACATCAGAAAGAAGTTTCTGAGAATCATTCTGTCTAGTTTTTATACGAAGATATTTCCTTTTCTATCATTGACATCAAAGCGGCTGAAATCTCCACTTGCAAGTACCACAAAAAGAGTGTTTCAAATCTGCTCTGTGTAAATGAAAGTTCAACTCCTGTGAGTTGAATACACACAACACAAGGAATTTACTGGGAATTCTTCTGTCTAGCCTTATATGAAAAAAACCCGTATCCAACGAAGGCCTCAAAGAGGACTGAATATCCACTTGCAGACTTTACAAACAGAGTGTTTCCTAACTGCTCTATGAAAAGAAAGGTTAAACTCCGTGAGTTGAACGCACACATCACAAAGGAGTTTCTGAGAATCATTCTGTCTAGTTTTTATACAAAGATATTTCCTTTTCTACCTTTGACTTCAAAGCGGCTGAAATCTCCACTTGCAAATTCCACAAAAAGAGTGTTACAAGTCTGCTCTGTGTAAAGGATCGTTCAACTCCGTGAGTTGAATACACAAAACACAAGGAAGTTACTGAGAATTCTTCTGTCTAGCATAGTATGAACAAATCCCGTTTCCAACGAAGGCCTCAAAGAGGTCTGAATATCCACTTGCAGACTTTACAAACAGAGTGTTTCCTAACTGCTCTATGAAAAGAAAGTTAAACTCTGTGAGTTGAACGCACACATCACAAAGGGAGTTCTGAGAATCATTCTCTCTAATTTTATATGAAGATATTTCCTTTTCAACCATTGACCTCAAAGCGGGCTGAATCTCCACTTGCCCAATCCACAAAAAGAATGTTTCAAGTCTGCTCTGTGTAAAGGGATCGTCAACTCTGTGAGGTTGATACACACA
>NC_000005.10:47296169-47300585 GCF_000001405.40 Homo sapiens | reverse complement strand
TATCCACTTGCAGACTTTACAAACAGAGTGTTTCCTAACTGCTGAATGAAAAGAAAAGTTAAACTCTGAGAGTTGAACGCACACATCGCAGAGCAGTTTCTGAGAATGATTCTGTCTATTTTTTATACGAAGATATTTCCTTTTCTGCCTTTGGACTCAAAGCGCTTGAAATCTCCACTTGCAAATTCCACAAAAAGAGTGTTTCAAATCTGCTCTGTCTATATGAAAGTTCAACTCTGTCAGTTGAATACACACAACACAAGGAAGTTACAGAGAATTCTTCTGTCTAGCCTTACATGAAAAAAACCCATTTCCAACGAAGGCCTCAAAGAGGTCTGATTATCCACTTGCAGACTTTACAAACAGAGTGTTTCCTAACTGCTCTATGAAAGGAAAGTTAAACTCTGTGAGTTGAACACTCACATCACAAAGGAGTTTCTGAGAATCATTCTGTCTAATTTTTATATGAAGATATTTCCTTTTCAACCATTGACCTCAAAGCGGCTGAAATCTCCATTTGCAAATTCCACAAAAAGAGTGTTTCAAGTCTGCTCTGGGGAAACGATCGTTCAACTCTGTGAGTTGAATACACAAAACACGACGGAGTTACTGAGAATTCTTCTGTCTAGCAGAATATGAAGAAAACCCGTTTCCAACGAGGACCTCAAAGAGGTCTGATTATCCACTTACAGACTTTACAAATAGAGTGTTTCCTAACTGCTCTATGAAAAGAAAGCTTAAACTCTGTGAGTTGAACGCACACATCATAAAGGCGTTTCTGAGAATCATTCTGTCTAGTTTTTATTCGAAGATATTTCCTTTTCTACCATTGACCTGAAAGCGGCTGAAATCTCCACTTGCAAATTCCACAAAAAGAGTGTTTCAAGTCTGCTCAAAGGATCGTAAAACTCTGTCAGTTGAATACACACAACACAAGGAAGTTGCTGAGAATTCTTCTGTCAGGCATAATATGAAGAAATCCCGTTTGCAACGAAGGCCTCAAATAGGTCTGAATATCCACTTCCAGAGTTTACAGAGTGTTTCCTAACTGCTCTATGAAAAGAAAGGTTAAACTCTGTGAGTTGAACGCACACATCAGAAAGGAGTTTCTGAGAATCATTCTGTCTAATTTTTATTCGAAGATATTTCCTTTTCTACCATTGACCTCAAATCGGCTGAAATCTCCACTTGCAAATTCCACAAAAAGAGTGTTTCAAGTCTGCTCAAAGGATCGTTCAACTCTGTGAGTTGAATACACACAACACGAGGAAGTTGCTGAGAATTCTTCTGTCAGGCATAATATGAAGAAATCCCGTTTCCAACGAAGGCCTCAAAGAGGTCTGAATATCCACTTGCAGAGTTTACAAAAAGAGTGTTTCCTAACTGCTCTATGAAAAGAAAGGTTAAACTCTGTGAGTTGAACGCACACATCACAAAGAAGTTTCTGAGAATCATTCTGTCTAGTTTTTATACGAAGTTATTTCCTTTTCTATCATTGACAGCAAAGCGGCTGAAATCTCCACTTGCAAATACCACAAAAAGAGTGTTTCAAATCTGCTCTGTGTAAATGAAAGTTCAATTCTGTGAGTTGAATACACACAACACAAGGAAGTTACTGGGAATTCTCCTGTCTAGCCTTATATGAAAAAAACCCGTTTCCAACGAAGGCCTCAAAGAGGTCTGAATATCCACTTGCAGAGTTTAAAAACAGAGTGTTTCTTAACTGCTCTATGAAAAGAAAGGTTAAACTCTGTGAGTTGAACGCACACATCACAAAGAAGTTTCTGAGAATCATTCTGTCTAGTTTTTATACGAAGATATTTCCTTTTCTAGCATTGACTTCAAAGCGGCTGAAATCTCCACTTGCAAATTCCACAAAAAGAGTGTTTCAAATCTGCTCTGTGTAAACCAACGTTCAACTCTGTGAGTTGAATACACACAACACAAGGAAGTTACTGAGAATTCTTCTGTCTAGCAGAATATGAAGAAATCCCGTTTCCAACGAATGCCACAAGATGTCAGAATATCCACTTTCAGAATTTACAAACAGAGTGTTTCCCAACTGCTCTATGAAAAGAAAGGTTAAACCCTGTGAGTTGAACGCACACATCATAAAGGAGTTTCTGAGAATCATTCTGTCTAGTTTTTATTCGAAGATATTTCGTTTTCTACCATTGACCTCAAAGCGGCTGAAATCTCCACTTGCAAATTCCACAAAAAAAGTGTTTCAAGTCTGCTCAAAGGATCGTTCAACTCTGTGAGTTGAATATACACAACACAAGGAAGTTACTGGAAATTCTTCTGTCTAGCCTTACAGGAAAAAACCCGTTTCCAACGAAGGCCTCTAAGTGGTCAAAATATCCACGTGCAGATTTTACTAACAGAGTGTTTCCAAACTGCTGAATGAAAAGAAAAGTTAAACTCTGAGAGTTGAACACACACATCCCAGAGCAGTTTATGAGAATGATTCTGTCTAGTTTTTATACGGAGATATTTACTTTTCTGCCTTTGGCCTCAAAGCGCTTGAAATCTCCACTTGCAAATTACACAAAAAGAGTGTTTCAAATCTGCTCTGTCTAAATGAAAGTTCAACTCTGTCAGTTGAATACACAGAACACAAGGAAGTTACTGAGAATTCTTCTGTCTAGCCTTACATGAAAATCCCGTTTCCAACGAAGACCTCAAACAGGTCAAATTATCCACGTGCACACGTTACAAACAGAGTGTTTCCTCACTGCTCTATGAAAAGAAAGGTTAAACTCTGTGAGTTGAACGCACACATCACAAAGGAGTTTCTGAGAATCATTCTGTCTAGTTTTTATACGAAGATATTCCCTTTTCTACCATTGACATCAAAGCGGCTGAAATCTCCACTTGCAAATTCCACAAAAACAGTGTTTCTAGTCTGCTCTGTGTAAAGGATCGTTCAACTCTGTGAGTTGAATACACACGACACAAGGAAGTTACTGAGAATTCTTTTGTCTAGCATAATATTAAGAAATCCCGTTTCCAACGAAGGCCTCAAAGCGGTCTGAATATCCGCTTGCAGAGTTTACAAACAGAGTGTTTCCTAACTGCTCTATGAAAAGAAAGGTTAAACTCTGTGAGTTGAACGTACACATCACAAAGGAGTTTCTGGGAATCATTCTGTCTAGTTTTTATACGAAGATATTTCCTTTTCTACCATTGACCTCAAAGCGGCTGAAATCTCCACTTGCAAATTCCACAAAAAGAGTGATTCTAGTCTGCTCTGTGTAAAGGATCGTTCAACTCTGTGAGTTGAGTACACACAACACAAGGAGGTTACTGAGAATTCCTCTGTCTAGCATAATATGAAGAAATTCCGTTTCCAACGAAGGCCTCAAAGAGGTCTGAATATCCACTTGCTGATTTACAAACAGAGTGTTTCCTAACTGCTCTATGAAAAGAAAGGTTAAACTCTGTGAGTTGAACGCACACATCACAAAGAAGTTTCTGAGAATCATTCTGTCTAGTTTTTATACGAAGATATTTCCTTTTCTACCATGGACCTCAAAGCGGCTGAAATCTCCACTTGCAAATTCCACAAAAAGAGTGTGTCAAATCTGCTCTGTGTAAAGGATCGTTCAACTCTGTGAGTTGAATACACAGAACACAAGGAAGTTTCTGAGAATTCTTCTGTCTAGCAGAATATGAAGAAATCCCGTTTCCAACGAAGTCCACAAGATGTCAGAATATCCACTTGCAGACTTGGCAAACAGAGCGTTTACAAACGGCTCTATGAAAAGAAAGGTTAAACTCTGTGAGTTGAACGCACACATCACAACGCAGTTTGTGGGAATGATTGTGTCTAGTTTTGAAACTAAGATATTTCCTTTTCTGCCATTGACCTTAAAGCGCTTGAATTCTCCACTTGCAAATTGCACAAAAAGAATGTTTCAAATCTGCTCTGACTAAGGGAACGTTCAACTCTGTGAGTTGAATGCACACAACACAAGGAAGTTACCGGGAATTCTTCTGTCTAGACTTACATGAAAAAAATCCGTTTCCAACGAAGGCCTCTAAGTGGTCAAAATATCCACGTGCAGACTTTACAGTGTGTTTCCAAACTGCTGAATGAAAGGAAAAGTTAAACACTGAGAGTTGAACGCACACATCCCAGAGCACTTTCTGAGAATGATTCTGTCTAGTTTTTATACGAAGATATTTCCTTTTCTGCCTTTGGCCTCAACGCGCTTGAAATGTCCACTTGCAAATTCCACAAAAAGAGTGTTTCAAATCTGCTCTGTCTAAATGAAAGTTCAACTCTGTCAGTTGAATACACACAACACAAGGAGGTTACTGAGGATTCTTCTGTCTAGCCTTACATGAAAATCCCGTTTCCAAGGAGGACCTCAAAGAGGTCAAAATATCCACGTGCACACGTTAGAAACAGAG
>NC_000005.10:47153439-47296069 GCF_000001405.40 Homo sapiens | reverse complement strand
TCTGTGTACTTTTTATACGAAGATATTTCATTTTCTACCACTGGCCACAAAGCGCTTGAAATCTCCACGTGCAACTTCCACAAAAAGAGTGTTTCAAATCTGCTCTATCTAAAGGAACGTTCTATTCTGTGAGTTGATTACACACAACACAAGGAAGTTACTGAGAATTCTTCTTTCTAGCATTATATGAAGAAATCCCGTTTCCAACGAAGGCCTCAAATAGGTCCGAATATCGACTCACAGATTTGACAAACTGTGTGTTTCCAAACGGCTCTATGAAAACAAAGGTTAAACTCTGTGAGTTGAATGCACCCATCACAGAGCAGTTTCTGAAAATGATTCTGTCTAGTTTTTATGCGAAGATATTTCCTTTTCTACCATTGACGTTAAAGCGGCTGAAATCTCCACTTGCAAATTCCACACAAAGAGTGTTTCAAATCTGCTCTCTCTAAAGGAAGGTTCATCTGTTGTCAGTTGAATACACACAACAGGAAGAAGTTACTGGGAAATCTTCTGTCTAGCATTATATGAAGAAACCCCATTCCCAATGAAGGCCTCAAAGAGTTCCCAATATCCACTTGCAGACTTTACAAACATAGCGTTTCCCAACTGCTCTATGAAAAGGAAGTTTAAACTCTGTTAGGTGAACGCACACATCAAAACGCAGTTTTCTGGGAATGATTCTGTCTACTTTTTATTCGAAGATATTTCCTTTTCTACCGTTGGCCCCAAAGCGCTTGAAATCCCCACTTGCAAATTCCCCAAAAAGTGTCTTTCAAATCTGCTCTATCTAAAAGAAGGTTCAACTCTGTGAGCTGAATACACACAACACAAGGAAGTTACTGAGAATTCTTCTGTGTAGCCTTAAATGAATAAATACCATTTCCAAAGAACGCCTCATGGCGGTCCAAATATCCACATGCAGCCTTTTCAAACAGAGTGTTTCCCAACTGCTCTATGAAAAGAAAGGATAAACTCTGTGAGTTAAACATACACATCACTACACAGTTTCTGGGAATGATTTTGTCTAGTTTTTATGTGAAGATTTTTCCTTTTCTACCATTGGCCCCGAAGCGCTTGAAATCTCCAATTGGAAATTCCACAGAAAGTGTGTTTCAAATCTGCTCTATCTAAAAGAAGGTTCAACTCTGTGAGTTGAATACACACAATACAAAGAAGTTACGAAGAATTCCTCTGTCTAGCATTATATGAAGAAATCCCTTTTCCAAAGAAGGCCTCATAGAGGTCTGAATATCCACTTGCAGTCTTTACAAACAGAGTGTTTCCTAAGTGCTCTATGAAAAGAAAGGTAGAACTCTTTGAATTGAACGCATACATCACAAAGCAGTTTCTGAGAATCATTCTGTCAAGTTTTTATACGAAGAAATGTCCTTTTCTACCATTGACCTCAAAGCGTCTGAAATCTCCACTTGCAAATTCCACAAAAAGAGTGTCTCAAATCTGCTCTACCTAAAAGAAGGGTCAACTCTGTCAGTTGAATACACACAACACAAAGAAGTTACTGAGAAATCTTCTGTCTAACCTTACATGAATAAAACCCGTTTCCAACGAAGGCCTCAAAGATGTCCAAATATCCACGTGCAGACTTTACAAACAGAGTGTTTCCAAACTGCTGTATGAAAAGGTAGGTTAAACTCCGTGAGTCGAACGCACACATGATTAAGCAGTTTCTGAGAATGATTCTGACTTGTTTTTATACGAAGATATTTCCTCTTCTGCCTTTGGCCTCAAAGCGCTTGAAATTTCCTATTGCAAATTCCACAAAAAGAGTGTTTCAATTCTGCTCTGTCTAAAGGAACGCTCAACTCTGTGATTTGAATACACACAACACAGAGAAGTTACTGAGAATTCCTCTGTCTAGCATTATATGAAGAAATCCCTTTTCCAACGAAGGCCTCAAAGAGAACGTAATATCCACTTTCAGACTGTTCAAACAGAGTGTTTCCTAACTGCTCTATGAAAAGAAAGGTAAAACTCTTTGAACTGAACACACACATCACGAAGCAGGTTCTGAGAATCATTCTGTCTAGTTTTTATACGAAGATATTTCCTTTTCTACCATTGACCTCAATGCGTCTGAAATCTCCACTTGTAAATTCCACAAAAAGAGTGGTTCAAATGTGCTCTGTCTAAAGGAAGTGTCAACTCTGTCAGTGGAATACACACAATACAAAGAAGTTACTGAGAATTCTTCTGTCTAGCCTTACATGAATAAAACCCGTTTCCAACGAAGACCTCAAAGAGGTCAAAATATCCACTTGCATCCATTACAAACAGAGTGTTTCCAAACTGCTGTACGAAAAGATATGTGAAACTCTGTGAGTTGAACGCACACATCACAAAGCAGTTTCTGAGAATGATTCTATCTAGTTTTTATACGAAGATATTTCCTTTTCTGCCTTTGGCCTCAAACGCTTGAAATCTCCACTTGCAAATTCCACAAAAAGAGTGTTTCAAATCTGCTCTGTCTAAAGGAAGGTTCAACTCTGTGAGTTGAACACACACAACACAAACAAGTTACTGAGAATTCTTCTGTCTAGCATTATATGGAGAAACCCCGTTTCAAAATAAGGCGCCAAAGAGGTCCGAATATCCACTTGCAGACTTTACAAACACACTGTTTCCAAACTGCTCTATGAAAAGAAAGTTTAAACTCCGAGAGTTGAACGCACACATCAGAAAGTAGTTTCTGAGAATGATTCTGTGTACTTTTTATACGAAGATATTTCATATTCTACCACTGGCCACAAAGCGCTTGAAATCTCCACGTGCAACTTCCACAAAAAGAGTGTTTCAAATCTGCTCTATCTAAAGGAAGTTTCCATTCTGTGAGTTGATAACACACAACACAAGGAAGTTACTGAGAATTCTTCTTTCTAGCATTATATGAAGAAATCCCGTTTCCAACGAAGGCCTCTAATAGGTCCGAATATCGACTTACAGATTTGAAAAACTGTTTGTTTCCAAACGGCTCTAGGAAAACAAAGGTTAATCTCTGTGAGTTGAATGCACACATCACAAAGCAGTTTCTGAAAATGATTCTGTCTTGTTTTTATGCAAAGATATTTCCTTTTCTACCATTGACGTTAAAGAGGCTGAAATCTCCACTTGCAACTTCCACAAAAAGAGTGTTTCAAATCTGCTCTCTGTAAAGGAAGGTTCATCTGTTGTCAGTTGAATACACACAACAGGAAGAAGTTACTGGGAAATCTTCTGTCTAGCATTATATGAAGAAACCCCATTCCCAATGAAGGCCTCAAAGAGTTCCCAATATCCACTTGCAGACTTTACAAACATAGCGTTTCCCAACTGCTCTATGAAAAGGAAGGTTAAACTCTGTTACGTGAACGCACACATCAAAACGCAGTTTCTGGGAATGATTCTGTCTACTTTTTATTCGAAGATATTTCCTTTTCTACCGTTGGCCTCAAAGCGCTTGAAATCCCCACTTGCAAATTCCCCAAAAAGTGTCTTTCAAATCTGCTCTATCTAAAAGAAGGTTCAACTCTGTGAGCTGAATACACACAACACAAGGAAGTTACTGAGAATTCTTCTGTGTAGCCTTAAATGAAGAAACACCATTTCCAAAGAACGCCTCATGGCGGTCCAAATATCCACATGCAGACTTTTCAAACAGAGTGTTTCCCAACTGCTCTATGAAAAGAAAGGATAAACTCTGTGAGTTAAACATACACATCACTACACCGGTTCTGGGAATGAGTTTGTCTAGTTTTTATGTGAAGATTTTTCCTTTTCTACCATTGGCCCTGAAGCGCTTGAAATCTCCAATTGGAAATTCCACAGAAAGTGTGTTTCAAATCTGCTCTATCTAAAAGAAGGTTCAACTCTGTGAGTTGAATACACACAATACAAAGAAGTTACGAAGAATTCCTCTGTCTAGCATTATATGAAGAAATCCCTTTTCCAAAGAAGGCCTCATAGAGGTCCGAATATCCACTTGCAGTCTTTACAAACAGAGTGTTTCCTAAGTGCTCTATGAAAAGAAAGGTAGAACTCTTTGAATTGAACGCATACATCACAAAGCAGTTTCTGAGAATCATTCTGTCAAGTTTTTATATGAAGAAATGTCCTTTTCTACCATTGACCTCAAAGCGTCTGAAATCTCCACTTGCAAATTCCACAAAAAGAGTGTCTCAAATCTGCTCTACCTAAAAGAAGGGTCAACTCTGTCAGTTGAATACACACAACACAAAGAAGTTACAGAGAAATCTTCTGTCTAGCCTTACATGAATAAAACCCGTTTCCAACGAAGGCCTCAAAGATGTCCAAATATCCACGTGCAGACTTTACAAACAGAGTGTTTCCAAACTGCTGTATGAAAAGGTAGGTTAAACTCCGTGAGTCGAACGCACACATGATTAAGCAGTTTCTGAGAATGATTCTGACTTGTTTTTATACGAAGATATTTCCTCTTCTGCCTTTGGCCTCAAAGCGCTTGAAATTTCCTATTGCAAATTCCACAAAAAGAGTGTTTCAAGTCTGCTCTGCCTAAAGGAACGTTCAACTCTGTGATTTGAATACACACAACACAGAGAAGTTACTGAGAATTCCTCTGTCTAGCATTATATGAAGAAATCCCTTTTCCAATGAAGGCCTCAAAGAGATCGGAATATCCACTTTCAGACTGTTCAAACAGAGTGTTTTCTAACTGCTCTATGAAAAGAAAGGTAAAACTCTTTGAACTGAACACACACATCACGAAGCAGGTTCTGAGAATCATTCTGTCTAGTTTTTATACGAAGATATTTCCTTTTCTACCATTGACCTCAATGCGTCTGAAATCTCCACTTGCAAATTCCACAAAAAGAGTGGTTCAAATGTGCTCTGTCTAAAGAAAGGGTCAACTCTGTCAGTGGAATACACACAATACAAAGAAGTTACTGAGAATTCTTCTGTCTAGCCTTACATGAATAAAACCCGTTTCCAACGAAGACCTCAAAGAGGTCCAAATATCCACTTGCAGACATTACAAACAGAGTGTTTGCAAACTGCTGTACGAAAAGATAAGTGAAACTCTGTGAGTTGAACGCACACATCACAAAGCAGTTTCTGAGAATGATCTATCTAGTTTTTATACGAAGATATTTCCTTTTCTGCCTTTGGCCTCAAAGCGCTTGAAATCTCCACTTGCAAATTCCACAAAAAGAGTGTTTCAAATCTGCTCTGTCTAAAGGAAGGTTCAACTCTGTGAGTTGAACACACACAACACAAACAAGTTACTGAGAATTCTTCTGTCTAGCATTACATGGAGAAACCCCGTTTCAAAATAAGGCGCCAAAGAGGTCCGAATATCCACTTGCAGACTTTACAAACACACTGTTTCCAAACTGCTCTATGAAAAGAAAGTTTAAACTCCGAGAGTTGAACGCACACATCAGAAAGTAGTTTCTGAGAATGATTCTGTGTACTTTTTATACGAAGATATTTCATTTTCTACCACTGGCCACAAAGCGCTTGAAATCTCCACGTGCAACTTCCACAAAAAGAGTGTTTCAAATCTGCTCTATCTAAAGGAACGTTCTATTCTGTGAGTTGATTACACACAACACAAGGAAGTTACTGAGAATTCTTCTTTCTAGCATTATATGAAGAAATCCCGTTTCCAACGAAGGCCTCAAATAGGTCCGAATATCGACTTACAGATTTGACAAACTGTGTGTTTCCAAACGGCTCTAGGAAAACAAAGGTTAAACTCTGTGAGTTGAATGCACACATCACAAAGCAGTTTCTGAAAATGATTTCTGTCTTGTTTTTATGCGAAGATATTTCCTTTTCTACCATTGACGTTAAAGCGGCTGAAATCTCCACTTGCAACTTCCACAAAAAGAGTGTTTCAAATCTGCTCTCTCTAAAGGAAGGTTCATCTGTTGTCAGTTGAATACACACAACAGGAAGAAGTTACTGGGAAATCTTCTGTCTAGCATTATATGAAGAAACCCCATTCCCAATGAAGGCCTCAAAGAGTTCCCAATATCCACTTGCAGACTTTACAAACATAGCGTTTCCCAACTGCTCTATGAAAAGGAAGGTTAAACTCTGTTAGGTGAACGCACACATCAAAACGCAGTTTCTGGGAATGATTCTGTCTACTTTTTATTCGAAGATATTTCCTTTTCTACCGTTGGCCTCAAAGCGCTTGAAATCTCCACTTGCAAATTCTCCAAAAAGTGTCTTTCAAATCTGCTCTATCTAAAAGAAGGTTCAACTCTGTGAGCTGAATACACACAACACAAGGAAGTTACTGAGAATTCTTCTGTGTAGCCTTAAATGAAGAAATACCATTTCCAAAGAACGCCTCATGGCGGTCCAAATATCCACAGGCAAACTTTTCAAACAGAGCGTTTCCCAACTGCTCTATGAAAAGAAAGGTTAAACTCTGTGAGTTAAACATACACATCACTACACAGTTTCTGGGAATGATTTTGTCTAGTTTTTATGTGAAGATTTTTCCTTTTCTACCATTGGCCACAAAGCGCTTGAAATCTCCAATTGGAAATTCCACAAAAAGTGTGTTTCAAATCTACTCTATCTAAAAGAAGGTTCAACTCTGTGAGTTGAATACACACAATACAAAGAAGTTACTAAGAATTCCTCTGTCTAGCATTATATGAAGAAATCCCTTTTCCAAAGAAGGCCTCATAGAGATCCGAATATCCACTTGCAGTCTTTACAAACAGATTGTTTCCTAAGTGCTCTATGAAAACAAAGGTAAAACTCTTTGAATTGAATGCATACATCACAAAGCAGTTTCTGAGAATCATTCTGTCAAGTTTTTATACGAAGAAATGTCCTTTTCTACCATTGACCTCAAAGCGTCTGAAATCTCCACTTGCAAATTCCACAAAAAGAGTGTCTCAAATCTGCTCTACCTAAAAGAAGGGTCAACTCTGTCAGTTGAATACACACAACACAAAGAAGTTACTGAGAAATCTACTGTCTAGCCTTACATGAATAAAACCCGTTTCCAACGAAGGCCTCAAAGATGTCCAAATATCCACGTGCAGACTTTACAAACAGAGTGTTTCCAAACTGCTGTATGAAAAGGTAGGTTAAACTCCGTGAGTCGAACGCACACATGATTAAGCAGTTTCTGAGAATGATTCTGACTTGTTTTTATACGAAGATATTTCCTCTTCTGCCTTTGGCCTCAAAGCGCTTGAAATTTCCTATTGCAAATTCCACAAAAAGAGTGTTTCAAGTCTGCTCTGTCTAAAGGAACGTTCAACTCTGTGATTTGAATACACACAACACAGAGAAGTTACTGAGAATTCCTCTGTCTAGCATTATATGAAGAAATCCCTTTTCCAACGAAGGCCTCAAAGAGATCGGAATATCCACTTTCAGACTGTTCAAACAGAGTGTTTCCTAACTGCTCTATGAAAAGAAAGGTAAAACTCTTTGAACTGAACACACACATCACGAAGCAGGTTCTGAGAATCATTCTGTCTAGTTTTTATACAAAGATATTTCCTTTTCTACCATTGACCTCAATGCGTCTGAAATCTCCACTTGCAAATTCCACAAAAAGAGTGGTTCAAATGTGCTCTGTCTAAAGGAAGGGTCAACTCTGTCAGTGGAATACACACAATACAAAGAAGTTACTGAGAATTCTTCTGTCTAGCCTTACATGAATAAAACCCGTTTCCAACGAAGACCTCAAAGAGGTCAAAATATCCACTTGCAGACATTACAAACAGAGTGTTTCCAAACTGCTGTACGAAAAGATAAGTGAAACTCTGTGAGTTGAACGCACACATCACAAAGCAGTTTCTGAGAATGACTATCTAGTTTTTATACGAAGATATTTCCTTTTCTGCCTTTGGCCTCAAAGCGCTTGAAATCTCCACTTGCAAATTCCACAAAAAGAGTGTTTCAAATCTGCTCTGTCTAAAGGAAGGTTCAACTCTGTGAGTTGAACACACACAACACAAACAAGTTACTGAGAATTCTTCTGTCTAGCATTATATGGAGAAAACCCGTTTCAAAATAAGGCGCCAAAGAGGTCCGAATATCCACTTGCAGACTTTACAAACACACTGTTTCCAAACTGCTCTATGAAAAGAAAGTTTAACCTCCGAGAGTTGAACACACACATCAGAAAGTAGTTTCTGAGAATGATTCTGTGTACTTTTTATACGAAGATATTTCATTTTCTACCACTGGCCACAAAGCGCTTGAAATCTCCACGTGCAACTTCCACAAAAAGAGTGTTTCAAATCTGGTCTATCTAAAGGAACGTTCTATTCTGTGAGTTGATTACACACAACACAAGGAAGTTACTGAGAATTCTTCTTTCTAGCATTATATGAAGAAATCCCGTTTCCAACGAAGGCCTCAAATAGGTCCGAATATCGACTTACAGATTTGACAAACTGTGTGTTTCCAAACGGCTCTATGAAAACAAAGGTTAAACTCTGTGAGTTGAATGCACACATCACAATGCAGTTTCTGAAAATGATTCTGTCTTGTTTTTATGCGAAGATATTTGCTTTTCTACCATTGACGTTAAAGCGGCTGAAATCTCCACGTGCAACTTCCACAAAAAGAGTGTTTCAAATCTGGTCTATCTAAAGGAACGTTCTATTCTGTGAGTTGATTACACACAACACAAGGAAGTTACTGAGAATTCTTCTGTCTAGCATTATATGAAGAAACCCCATTCCCAATGAAGGCCTCAAAGAGTTCCCAATATCCACTTGCAGACTTTACAAACATAGCGTTTCCCAACTGCTCTATGAAAAGGAAGGTTAAACTCTGTTAGGTGAACGCACACATCAAAACGCAGTTTCTGGGAATGATTCTGTCTACTTTTTATTCGAAGATATTTCCTTTTCTACCGTTGGCCTCAAAGCGCTTGAAATCCCCACTTGCAAATTCCCCAAAAAGTGTCTTTCAAATCTGCTCTATCTAAAAGAAGGTTCAACTCTGTGAGCTGAATACACACAACACAAGGAAGTTACTGAGAATTCTTCTGTGTAGCCTTAAATGAAGAAATACCATTTCCAAAGAACGCCTCATGGCGGTCCAAATATCCACATGCAGACTTTTCAAACAGAGTGTTTCCCAACTGCTCTATGAAAAGAAAGGATAAACTCTGTGAGTTAAACATACACATCACTACACAGTTTCTGGGAATGATTTTGTCTAGTTTTTTTGTGAAGATTTTTCCTTTTCTACCATTGGCCCCGAAGCGCTTGAAATCTCCAATTGGAAATTCCACAGAAAGTGTGTTTCAAATCTGCTCTATCTAAAAGAAGGTTCAACTCTGTGAGTTGAATACACACAATACAAAGAAGTTACGAAGAATTCCTCTGTCTAGCATTATATGAAGAAATCCCTTTTCCAAAGAAGGCCACATAGAGGTCCGAATATCCACTTGCAGTCTTTACAAACAGAGTGTTTCCTAAGTGCTCTATGAAAAGAAAGGTAGAACTCTTTGAATTGAACGCATACATCACAAAGCAGTTTCTGAGAATCATTCTGTCAAGTTTTTATACGAAGAAATGTCCTTTTCTACCATTGACCTCAAAGCGTCTGAAATCTCCACTTGCAAATTCCACAAAAAGAGTGTCTCAAATCTGCTCTACCTAAAAGAAGGGTCAACTCTGTCAGTTGAATACACACAACACAAAGAAGTTACTGAGAAATCTTCTGTCTAGCCTTACATGAATAAAACCCGTTTCCAACGAAGGCCTCAAAGATGTCCAAATATCCACGTGCAGACTTTACAAACAGAGTGTTTCCAAACTGCTGTATGAAAAGGTAGGTTAAACTCCGTGAGTCGAACGCACACATGATTAAGCAGTTTCTGAGAATGATTCTGACTTGTTTTTATACGAAGATATTTCCTCTTCTGCCTTTGGCCTCAAAGCGCTTGAAATTTCCTATTGCAAATTCCACAAAAAGAGTGTTTCAAGTCTGCTCTGTCTAAAGGAACGTTCAACTCTGTGATTTGAATACACACAACACAGAGAAGTTACTGAGAATTCCTCTGTCTAGCATTATATGAAGAAATCCCTTTTCCAACAAAGGCCTCAAAGAGATCGGAATATCCACTTTCAGACTGTTCAAACAGAGTGTTTCCTAACTGCTCTATGAAAAGAAAGGTAAAACTCTTTGAACTGAACACACACATCACGAAGCAGGTTCTGAGAATCATTCTGTCTAGTTTTTATACGAAGATATTTCCTTTTCTACCATTGACCTCAATGCGTCTGAAATCTCCACTTGCAAATTCCACAAAAAGAGTGGTTCAAATGTGCTCTGTCTAAAGGAAGGGTCAACTCTGTCAGTGGAATACACACAATACAAAGAAGTTACTGAGAATTCTTCTGTCTAGCCTTACATGAATAAAACCCGTTTCCAACGAAGACCTCAAAGAGGTCAAAATATCCACTTGCAGACATTACAAACAGAGTGTTTCCAAACTGCTGTACGAAAAGATAAGTGAAACTCTGTGAGTTGAACGCACACATCACAAAGCAGTTTCTGAGAATGATTCTATCTAGTTTTTATACGAAGATATTTCCTTTTCTGCCTTTGGCCTCAAAGCGCTTGAAATCTCCACTTGCAAATTCCACAAAAAGAGTGTTTCAAATCTGCTCTGTCTAAAGGAAGGTTCAACTCTGTGAGTTGAACACACACAACACAAACAAGTTACTGAGAATTCTTCTGTCTAGCATTATATGGAGAAACCCCGTTTCAAATTAAGGCGCCAAAGAGGTCCGAATATCCACTTGCAGACTTTACAAACACACTGTTTCCAAACTGCTCTATGAAAAGAAAGTTTAAACTCCGAGAGTTGAACGCACACATCAGAAAGTAGTTTCTGAGAATGATTCTGTGTACTTTTTATACGAAGATATTTCATTTTCTACCACTGGCCACAAAGCGCTTGAAATCTCCACGTGCAACTTCCACAAAAAGAGTGTTTCAAATCTGCTCTATCTAAAGGAACGTTCTATTCTGTGAGTTGATTACACACAACACAAGGAAGTTACTGAGAATTCTTCTTTCTAGCATTATATGAAGAAATCCCGTTTCCAACGAAGGCCTCAAATAGGTCCGAATATCGACTTACAGATTTGACAAACTGTGTGTTTCCAAACGGCTCTATGAAAACAAAGGTTAAACTCTGTGAGTTGAATGCACACATCACAAAGCAGTTTCTGAAAATGATTCTGTCTTGTTTTTATGCGAAGATATTTCCTTTTCTACCATTGACGTTAAAGCGGCTGAAATCTCCACTTGCAACTTCCACAAAAAGAGTGTTTCAAATCTGCTCTCTCTAAAGGAAGGTTCATCTGTTGTCAGTTGAATACACACAACAGGAAGAAGTTACTGGGAAATCTTCTGTCTAGCATTATATGAAGAAACCCCATTCCCAATGAAGGCCTCAAAGAGTTCCCAATATCCACTTGCAGACTTTACAAACATAGCGTTTCCCAACTGCTCTATGAAAAGGAAGGTTAAACTCTGTTAGGTGAACGCACACATCAAAACGCAGTTTCTGGGAATGATTCTGTCTACTTTTTATTCGAAGATATTTCCTTTTCTACCGTTGGCCTCAAAGCGCTTGAAATCCCCACTTGCAAATTCCCCAAAAAGTGTCTTTCAAATCTGCTCTATCTAAAAGAAGGTTCAACTCTGTGAGCTGAATACACACAACACGAGGAAGTTACTGAGAATTCTTCTTTGTAGCCTTAAATGAAGAAATACCATTTCCAAAGAACGCCTCATGGCGGTCCAAATATCCACATGCAGACTTTTCAAACAGAGTGTTTCCCAACTGCACTATGAAAAGAAAGGATAAACTCTGTGAGTTAAACATACACATCACTACACCGGTTCTGGGAATGAGTTTGTCTAGTTTTTATGTGAAGATTTTTCCTTTTCTACCATTGGCCCCGAAGCGCTTGAAATCTCCAATTGGAAATTCCACAAAAAGTGTGTTTCAAATCTGCTCTATCTAAAAGAAGGTTCAACTCTGTGAGTTGAATACACACAATACAAAGAAGTTACGAAGAATTCCTCTGTCTAGCATTATATGAAGAAATCCCTTTTCCAAAGAAGGCCTCATAGAGGTCCGAATATCCACTTGCAGTCTTAACAAACAGAGTGTTTCCTAAGTGCTCTATGAAAAGAAAGGTAGAACTCTTTGAATTGAACGCATACATCACAAAGCAGTTTCTGAGAATCATTCTGTCAAGTTTTTATACGAAGAAATGTCCTTTTCTACCATTGACCTCAAAGCGTCTGAAATCTCCACTTGCAAATTCCACAAAAAGAGTGTGTCAAATCTGCTCTACCTAAAAGAAGGGTCAACTCTGTCAGTTGAATACACACAACACAAACAAGTTACTGAGAAATCTTCTGTCTAGCCTTACATGAATAAAACCCGTTTCCAACGAAGGCCTCAAAGATGTCCAAATATCCACGTACAGACTTTACAAACAGAGTGTTTCCAAACTGCTTTATGAAAAGGTAGGTTAAACTCGGTGAGTCGAACGCACACATGATTAAGCAGTTTCTGAGAATGATTCTGACTTGTTTTTATACGAAGATATTTCCTCTTCTGCCTTTGGCGTCAAAGCGCTTGAAATTTCCTATTGCAAATTCCACAAAAAGAGTGTTTCAAGTCTGCTCTGTCTAAAGGAACGTTCAACTCTGTGATTTGAATACACACAACACAGAGAAGTTACTGAGAATTCCTCTGTCTAGCATTATATGAAGAAATCCCTTTTCCAACGAAGGCCTCAAAGAGATCGGAATATCCACTTTCAGACTGTTCAAACAGAGTGTTTCCTAACTGCTCTATGAAAAGAAAGGTAAAACTCTTTGAACTGAACACACACATCACGAAGCAGGTTCTGAGAATCATTCTGTCTAGTTTTTACACGAAGATATTTCCTTTTCTACCATTGACCTCAATGCGTCTGAAATCTCCACTTGCAAATTCCACAAAAAGAGTGGTTCAAATGTGCTCTGTCTAAAGGAAGGGTCAACTCTGTCAGTGGAATACACACAATACAAATAAGTTACTGAGAATTCTTCTGTCTAGCCTTACATGAATAAAACCCGTTTCCAACGAAGACCTCAAAGAGGTCAAAATATCCACTTGCAGACATTACAAACAGAGTGTCTCCAAACTGCTGTACGAAAAGATAAGTGAAACTCTGTGAGTTGAACGCACACATCACAAAGCAGTTTCTGAGAATGACTATCTAGTTATTATACGAAGATATTTCCTTTTCTGCCTTTGGCCTCAAAGCGCTTGAAATCTCCACTTGCAAATTCCACAAAAAGAGTGTTTCAAATCTGCTCTGTCTAAAGGAAGGTTCAACTCTGTGAGTTGAACACACACAACACAAACAAGTTACTGAGAATTCTTCTGTCTAGCATTATATGGAGAAACCCCGTTTCAAAATAAGGCGCCAAAGAGGTCCGAATATCCACTTGCAGACTTTACAAACACACTGTTTCCAAACTGCTCTATGAAAAGAAAGTTTAAACTCCGAGAGTTGAACGCACACATCAGAAAGTAGTTTCTGAGAATGATTCTGTGTACTTTTTATACGAAGATATTTCATTTTCTACCACTGGCCACAAAGCACTTGAAATCTCCACGTGCAACTTCCACAAAAAGAGTGTTTCAAATCTGCTCTATCTAAAGGAACGTTCTATTCTGTGAGTTGATTACACACAACACAAGGAAGTTACTGAGAATTCTTCTTTCTAGCATTATATGAAGAAATCCCGTTTCCAACGAAGGCCTCAAATAGGTCCGAATATCGACTTACAGATTTGACAAGCTGTGTGTTTCCAAACGGCTCTATGAAAACAAAGGTTAAACTCTGTGAGTTGAATGCACACATCACAAAGCAGTTTCTGAAAATGATTCTGTCTTGTTTTTATGCGAAGATATTTCCTTTTCTACCATTGACGTTAAAGCGGCTGAAATCTCCACTTGCAACTTCCACAAAAAGAGTGTTTCAAATCTGCTCTCTCTAAAGGAAGGTTCATCTGTTGTCAGTTGAATACACACAACAGGAAGAAGTTACTGGGAAATCTTCTGTCTAGCATTATATGAAGAAACCCCATTCCCAATGAAGGCCTCAAAGAGTTCCCAATATCCACTTGCAGACTTTACAAACATAGCGTTTCCCAACTGCTCTATGAAAAGGAAGGTTAAACTCTGTTAGGTGAACGCACACATCAAAACGCAGTTTCTGGGAATGATTCTGTCTACTTTTTATTCGAAGATATTTCCTTTTCTACCGTTGGCCTCAAAGCGCTTGAAATCCCCACTTGCAAATTCCCCAAAAAGTGTCTTTCAAATCTGCTCTATCTAAAAGAAGGTTCAACTCTGTGAGCTGAATACACACAACACAAGGAAGTTACTGAGAATTCTTCTGTGTAGCCTTAAATGAAGAAATACCATTTCAAAGAACGCCTCATGGCGGTCCAAATATCCACATGCAGACTTTTCAAACAGAGTGTTTCCCAACTGCTCTATGAAAAGAAAGGATAAACTCTGTGAGTTAAACATACACATCACTACACAGTTTCTAGGAATGAGTTTGTCTAGTTTTTATGTGAAGATTTTTCCTTTTCTACCATTGGCCCCGAAGCGCTTGAAATCTCCAATTGGAAATTCCACAGAAAGTGTGTTTCAAATCTGCTCTATCTAAAAGAAGGTTCAACTCTGTGAGTTGAATACACACAATACAAAGAAGTTACGAAGAATTCCTCTGTCTAGCATTATATGAAGAAATCCCTTTTCCAAAGAAGGCCACATAGAGGTCCGAATATCCACTTGCAGTCTTTACAAACAGAGTGTTTCCTAAGTGCTCTATGAAAAGAAAGGTAGAACTCTTTGAATTGAACGCATACATCACAAAGCAGTTTCTGAGAATCATTCTGTCAAGTTTTTATACGAAGAAATGTCCTTTTCTACCATTGACCTCAAAGCGTCTGAAATCTCCACTTGCAAATTCCACAAAAAGAGTGTCTCAAATCTGCTCTACCTAAAAGAAGGGTCAACTCTGTCAGTTGAATACACACAACACAAAGAAGTTACTGAGAAATCTTCTGTCTAGCCTTACATGAATAAAACCCGTTTCCAACGAAGGCCTCAAAGATGTCCAAATATCCACGTGCAGACTTTACAAACAGAGTGTTTCCAAACTGCTGTATGAAAAGGTAGGTTAAACTCCGTGAGTCGAACGCACACATGATTAAGCAGTTTCTGAGAATGATTCTGACTTGTTTTTATACGAAGATATTTCCTCTTCTGCCTTTGGCCTCAAAGCGCTTGAAATTTCCTATTGCAAATTCCACAAAAAGAGTGTTTCAAGTCTGCTCTGTCTAAAGGAACGTTCAACTCTGTGATTTGAATACACACAACACAGAGAAGTTACTGAGAATTCCTCTGTCTAGCATTATATGAAGAAATCCCTTTTCCAACGAAGGCCTCAAAGAGATCAGGATATCAACTTTCAGACTGTTCAAACAGAGTGTTTCCTAACTGCTCTATGAAAAGAAAGGTAAAACTCTTTGAACTGAACACACACATCACGAAGCAGTTTCTGAGAATCATTCTGTCTAGTTTTTATACGAAGATATTTCCTTTTCTACCATTGACCTCAATGCGTCTGAAATCTCCACTTGCAAATTCCACAAAAAGAGTGGTTCAAATGTGCTCTGTCTAAAGGAAGGGTCAACTCTGTCAGTGGAATACACACAATACAAAGAAGTTACTGAGAATTCTTCTGTCTAGCCTTACATGAATAAAACCCGTTTCCAACGAAGACCTCAAAGAGGTCAAAATATCCACTTGCAGACATTACAAACAGAGTGTCTCCAAACTGCTGTACGAAAAGATAAGTGAAACTCTGTGAGTTGAACGCACACATCACAAAGCAGTTTCTGAGAATGATCTATCTAGTTTTTATACGAAGATATTTCCTTTTCTGCCTTTGGCCTCAAAGCGCTTGAAATCTCCACTTGCAAATTCCACAAAAAGAGTGTTTCAAATCTGCTCTGTCTAAAGGAAGGTTCAACTCTGTGAGTTGAACACACACAACACATACAAGTTACCGAGAATTCTTCTGTCTAGCATTATATGGAGAAACCCCGTTTCAAAATAAGGCGCCAAAGAGGTTCGAATATCCACTTGCAGACTTTACAAAAACACTGTTTCCAAACTGCTCTATGAAAAGAAAGTTTAAACTCTGTGAGTTGAACGCACACATCAGAAAGTAGTTTCTGAGAATGATTCTGTGTACTTTTTATACGAAGATATTTCATTTTCTACCACTGGCCACAAAGCGCTTGAAATCTCCACGTGCAAATTCCACAAAAAGAGTGTTTCAAATCTGCTCTATCTAAAGGAACGTTCTATTCTGTGAGTTGATTACACACAACACACGGAAGTTACTGAGAATTCTTCTTTCTAGCATTATATGAAGAAATCCCGTTTCCAACGAAGGCCTCATATAGGTCCGAATATCGACTTATAGGTTAGACAAACTGTGTGTTTCCAAACGGCTCTATGAAAACAAAGGTTAAACTCTGTGAGTTGAATGCACACATCACAAAGCAGTTTCTGAAAATGATTCTGTCTTGTTTTTATGCGAAGATATTTCCTTTTCTACCATTGACGTTAAAGCGGCTGAAATCTCCACTTGCAAATTCCACAAAAAGAGTGTTTCAAATCTGCTCTCTCTAAAGGAAGGTTCATCTGTTGTCAGTTGAATACACACAACAGGAAGAAGTTACTGGGAAATCTTCTGTCTAGCATTATATGAAGAAACCCCATTCCCAATGAAGGCCTCAAAGAGTTCCCAATATCCACTTGCAGACTTTACAAACATAGCGTTTCCCAACTGCTCTATGAAAAGGAAGGTTAAACTCTGTTAGGTGAACGCACACATCAAAACGCAGTTTCTGGGAATGATTCTGTCTACTTTTTATTCGAAGATATTTCCTTTTCTACCGTTGGCCTCAAAGCGCTTGAAATCCCCACTTGCAAATTCCCCAAAAAGTGTCTTTCAAATCTGCTCTATCTAAAAGAAGGTTCAACTCTGTGAGCTGAATACACACAACACAAGGAAGTTACTGAGACTTCTTCTGTGTAGCCTTAAATGAAGAAATACCATTTCCAAAGAACGCCTCATGGCGGTCCAAATATCCACATGCAGACTTTTCAAACAGAGTGTTTCCCAACTGCTCTATGAAAAGAAAGGATAAACTCTGTGAGTTAAACATACACATCACTACACAGTTTCTGGGAATGATTTTGTCTAGTTTTTATGTGAAGATTTTTCCTTTTCTACCATTGGCCCCGAAGCGCTTGAAATCTCCAATTGGAAATTCCACAAAAAGTGTGTTTCAAATCTGCTCTATCTAAAAGAAGGTTCAACTCTGTGAGTTGAATACACACAATACAAAGAAGTTACGAAGAATTCCTCTGTCTAGCATTATATGAAGAAATCCCTTTTCCAAAGAAGGCCTCATAGAGGTCCGAATATCCACTTGCAGTCTTTACAAACAGAGTGTTTCCTAAGTGCTCTATGAAAAGAAAGGTAGAACTCTTTGAATTGAACGCATACATCACAAAGCAGTTTCTGAGAATCATTCTGTCAAGTTTTTATACGAAGAAATGTCCTTTTCTACCATTGACCTCAAAGCGTCTGAAATCTCCACTTGCAAATTCCACAAAAAGAGTGTCTCAAATCTGCTCTACCTAAAAGAAGGGTCAACTCTGTCAGTTGAATACACACAACACAAAGAAGTTACTGAGAAATCTTCTGTCTAGCCTTACATGAATAAAACCCGTTTCCAACGAAGGCCTCAAAGATGTCCAAATATCCACGTGCAGACTTTACAAACAGAGTGTTTCCAAACTGCTGTATGAAAAGGTAGGTTAAACTCCGTGAGTCGAACGCACACATGATTAAGC
This sequence comes from Homo sapiens, assembly GCF_000001405.40. Classification (NCBI taxonomy): domain Eukaryota; kingdom Metazoa; phylum Chordata; class Mammalia; order Primates; family Hominidae; genus Homo; species Homo sapiens. The sequence goes on along the minus strand of NC_000005.10, from coordinate 47,278,065 downwards.
AGTTTCTGAGAATGATTCTGACTTGTTTTTATACGAAGATATTTCCTCTTCTGCCTTTGGCCTCAAAGCGCTTGAAATTTCCTATTGCAAATTCCACAAAAAGAGTGTTTCAAGTCTGCTCTGTCTAAAGGAACGTTCAACTCTGTGATTTGAATACACACAACACAGAGAAGTTACTGAGAATTCCTCTGTCTAGCATTATATGAAGAAATCCCTTTTCCAACAAAGGCCTCAAAGAGATCGGAATATCCACTTTCAGACTGTTCAAACAGAGTGTTTCCTAACTGCTCTATGAAAAGAAAGGTAAAACTCTTTGAACTGAACACACACATCACGAAGCAGGTTCTGAGAATCATTCTGTCTAGTTTTTATACGAAGATATTTCCTTTTCTACCATTGACCTCAATGCGTCTGAAATCTCCACTTGCAAATTCCACAAAAAGAGTGGTTCAAATGTGCTCTGTCTAAAGGAAGGGTCAACTCTGTCAGTGGAATACACACAATACAAAGAAGTTACTGAGAATTCTTCTGTCTAGCCTTACATGAATAAAACCCGTTTCCAACGGAGACCTCAAAGAGGTCAAAATATCCACTTGCAGACATTACAAACAGAGTGTTTCCAAACTGCTGTACGAAAAGATAAGTGAAACTCTGTGAGTTGAACGCACACATCACAAAGCAGTTTCTGAGAATGATCTATCTAGTTTTTATACGAAGATATTTCCTTTTCTGCCTTTGGCCTCAAAGCGCTTGAAATCTCCACTTGCAAATTCCACAAAAAGAGTGTTTCAAATCTGCTCTGTCTAAAGGAAGGTTCAACTCTGTGAGTTGAACACACACAACACAAACAAGTTACTGAGAATTCTTTCTGTCTAGCATTATATGGAGAAACCCCGTTTCAAAATAAGGCGCCAAAGAGGTCCGAATATCCACTTGCAGACTTTACAAACACACTGTTTCCAAACTGCTCTATGAAAAGAAAGTTTAAACTCCGAGAGTTGAACGCACACATCAGAAAGTAGTTTCTGAGAATGATTCTGTGTACTTTTTATACGAAGATATTTCATTTTCTACCACTGGCCACAAAGCGCTTGAAATCTCCACGTGCAACTTCCACAAAAAGAGTGTTTCAAATCTGCTCTATCTAAAGGAACGTTCTATTCTGTGAGTTGATTACACAGAACACAAGGAAGTTACTGAGAATTCTTCTTTCTAGCATTATATGAAGAAATCCCGTTTCCAACGAAGGCCTCAAATAGGTCCGAATATCGACTTACAGATTTGACAAACTGTGTGTTTCCAAACGGCTCTATGAAAACAAAGGTTAAACTCTGTGAGTTGAATGCACACATCACAAAGCAGTTTCTGAAAATGATTCTGTCTTGTTTTTATGCGAAGATATTTCCTTTTCTACCATTGACGTTAAAGCGGCTGAAATCTCCACTTGCAACTTCCACAAAAAGAGTGTTTCAAATCTGCTCTCTCTAAAGGAAGGTTCATCTGTTGTCAGTTGAATACACACAACAGGAAGAAGTTACTGGGAAATCTTCTGTCTAGCATTATATGAAGAAACCCCATTCCCAATGAAGGCCTCAAAGAGTTCCCAATATCCACTTGCAGACTTTACAAACATAGCGTTTCCCAACTGCTCTATGAAAAGGAAGGTTAAACTCTGTTAGGTGAACGCACACATCAAAACGCAGTTTCTGGGAATGATTCTGTCTACTTTTTATTCGAAGATATTTCCTTTTCTACCGTTGGCCTCAAAGCGCTTGAAATCCCCACTTGCAAATTCCCCAAAAAGTGTCTTTCAAATCTGCTCTATCTAAAAGAAGGTTCAACTCTGTGAGCTGAATACACACAACACAAGGAAAGTTACTGAGAATTCTTCTGTGTAGCCTTAAATGAAGAAATACCATTTCCAAAGAACGCCTCATGGCGGTCCAAATATCCACATGCAGACTTTTCAAACAGAGTGTTTCCCAACTGCTCTATGAAAAGAAAGGATAAACTCTGTGAGTTAAACATACACATCACTACACAGTTTCTGGGAATGATTTTGTCTAGTTTTTATGTGAAGATTTTTCCTTTTCTACCATTGGCCCCGAAGCGCTTGAAATCTCCAATTGGAAATTCCACAAAAAGTGTGTTTCATATCTGCTCTATCTAAAAGAAGGTTCAACTCTGTGAGTTGAATACACACAATACAAAGAAGTTACGAAGAATTCCTCTGTCTAGCATTATATGAAGAAATCCCTTTTCCAAAGAAGGCCTCATAGAGGTCCGAATATCCACTTGCAGTCTTTACAAACAGAGTGTTTCCTAAGTGCTCTATGAAAAGAAAGGTAGAACTCTTTGAATTGAACGCATACATCACAAAGCAGTTTTCTGAGAATCATTCTGTCAAGTTTTTATACGAAGAAATGTCCTTTTCTACCATTGACCTCAAAGCGTCTGAAATCTCCACTTGCAAATTCCACAAAAAGAGTGTCTCAAATCTGCTCTACATAAAAGAAGGGTCAACTCTGTCAGTTGAATACACACAACACAAAGAAGTTACTGAGAAATCTTCTGTCTAGCCTTACATGAATAAAACCCGTTTCCAACGAAGGCCTCAAAGATGTCCAAATATCCACGCGCAGACTTTACAAACAGAGTGTTTCCAAACTGCTGTATGAAAAGGTAGGTTAAACTCCGTGAGTTGAACGCACACATGATTAAGCAGTTTCTGAGAATGATTCTGACTTGTTTTTATACGAAGATATTTCCTCTTCTGCCTTTGGCCTCAAAGCGCTTGAAATTTCCTATTGCAAATTCCACAAAAAGAGTGTTTCAAGTCTGCTCTGTCTAAAGGAACGTTCAACTCTGTGATTTGAATACACACAACACAGAGAAGTTACTGAGAATTCCTCTGTCTAGCATTATATGAAGAAATCCCTTTTCCAATGAAGGCCTCAAAGCGATCGGAATATCCACTTTCAGACTGTTCAAACAGAGTTTCCTAACTGCTCTATGAAAAGAAAGGTAAAACTCTTTGAACTGAACACACACATCACGAAGCAGGTTCTGAGAATCATTCTGTCTAGTTTTTATACGAAGATATTTCCTTTTCTACCATTGACCTCAATGCGTCTGAAATCTCCACTTGCAAATTCCACAAAAAGAGTGGTTCAAATGTGCTCTGTGTAAAGGAAGGGTCAACTCTGTCAGTGGAATACACACAATACAAAGAAGTTACTGAGAATTCTTCTGTCTAGCCTTACATGAATAAAACCCGTTTCCAACGAAGACCTCAAAGAGGTCAAAATATCCACTTGCAGACATTACAAACAGAGTGTTTGCAAACTGCTGTACGAAAAGATAAGTGAAACTCTGTGAGTTGAACGCACACATCACAAAGCAGTTTCTGAGAATGACTATCTAGTTTTTATACGAAGATATTTCCTTTTCTGCCTTTGGCCTCAAAGCGCTTGAAATCTCCACTTGCAAATTTCACAAAAAGAGTGTTTCAAATCTGCTCTGTCTAAAGGAAGGTTCAACTCTGTGAGTTGAACACACACAACACAAACAAGTTACTGAGAATTCTTCTGTCTAGCCTTATATGGAGAAACCCCGTTTCAAAATAAGGCGCCAGAGAGGTCCGAATATCCACTTGCAGACTTTACAAACAGACTGTTTCCAAACTGCTCTATGAAAAGAAAGTTTAAACTCTTTGAGTTGAATGCACACATCAGAAAGTAGTTTCTGAGAATGATTCTGTGTACTTTTTATACGAAGCATATTTCATTTTCTACCACTGGCCACAAAGCGCTTGAAATCTCCACGTGCAACTTCCACAAAAAGAGTGTTTCAAATCTGCTCTATCTAAAGGAACGTTCTATTCTGTGAGTTGATTACACACAACACAAGGAAGTTACTGAGAATTCTTCTTTCTAGCATTATATGAAGAAATCCCGTTTCCAACGAAGGCCTCAAATAGTTCCGAATATCGACTTACAGATTTGACAAACTGTGTGTTTCCAAACGGCTCTATGAAAACAAAGGTTAAACTCTGTGAGTTGAATGCACACATCACAAAGCAGTTTCTGAAAATGATTCTGTCTTGTTTTTATGCGAAGATATTTCCGTTTCTACCATTGACGTTAAAGCGGCTGAAATCTCCACTTGCAAATTCCACAAAAAGAGTGTTTCAAATCTGCTCTCTCTAAAGGAAGGTTCATCTGTTGTCAGTTGAATACACACAACAGGAAGAAGTTACTGGGAAATCTTCTGTCTAGCATTATATGAAGAAACCCCATTCCCAATGAAGGCCTCAAAGAGTTCCCAATATCCACTTGCAGACTTTACAAACATAGCGTTTCCCAACTGCTCTATGAAAAGGAAGGTTAAACTCTGTTAGGTGAACGCACACATCAAAACGCAGTTTCTGGGAATGATTCTGTCTACTTTTTATTCGAAGATATTTCCTTTTCTACCGTTGGCCTCAAAGCGCTTGAAATCCCCACTTGCAAATTCCCCAAAAAGTGACTTTCAAATCTGCTCTATCTAAAAGAAGGTTCAACTCTGTGAGCTGAATACACACAACACAAGGAAGTTACTGAGAATTCTTCTGTGTAGCCTTAAATGAAGAAATACCATTTCCAAAGAACGCCTCATGGCGGTCCAAATATCCACATGCAGACTTTTCAAACAGAGTGTTTCCCAACAGCTCTATGAAAAGAAAGGATAAACTCTGTGAGTTAAACATACACATCACTACACCGGTTCTGGGAATGAGTTTGTCTAGTTTTTATGTGAAGATTTTTCCTTTTCTACCATTGGCCCCGAAGCGCTTGAAATCTCCAATTGGAAATTCCACAAAAAGTGTGTTTCAAATCTGCTCTATCTAAAAGAAGGTTCAACTCTGTGAGTTGAATACACACAATACAAAGAAGTTACGAAGAATTCCTCTGTCTAGCATTATATGAAGAAATCCCTTTTCCAAAGAAGGCCTCATAGAGGTCCGAATATCCACTTGCAGTCTTAACAAACAGAGTGTTTCCTAAGTGCTCTATGAAAAGAAAGGTAGAACTCTTTGAATTGAACGCATACATCACAAAGCAGTTTCTGAGAATCATTCTGTCAAGTTTTTATACGAAGAAATTTCCTTTTCTACCATTGACCTCAAAGCGTCTGAAATCTCCACTTGCAAATTCCACAAAAAGAGTGTTTCAAATCTGCTCTGTCTAAAAGAAGGGTCAACTCTGTCAGTTGAATACACACAACACAAAGAAGTTACTGAGAGGTGCTCTGTCTAGCCTTACATGAATAAAACCCGTTTCCAACGAAGGCCTCAAAGATGTCCAAATATCCACGTGCAGATTTTACAAACAGAGTGTTTCCAAACTGCTGTAAGAAAAGGTAGGTTAAACTTCGTGAGTTGAACGCACACATGATTAAGCAGTTTCTGAGAATGATTCTGACTTGTTTTTATACGAAGATATTTCCTCTTCTGCCTTTGGCCTAAAAGCGCTTGAAATTTCCAAATGCAAATTCCACAAAAAGAGTGTTTCAAGTCTGCTCTGTCTAAAGGAACGTTCGCCTCTGTGATTTGAATACACACAACACAGAGAAGTTACTGAGAATTCCTCTGTCTAGCATTATATGAAGAAATCCCTTTTCCAACAAAGGCCTCAAAGAGATCGGAATATCCACTTTCAGACTGTTCAAACAGAGTGTTTCCTAACTGCTCTATGAAAAGAAAGGTAAAACTCTTTGAACTGAACACACACATCACGAAGCAGGTTACTGAGAATCATTTCTGTCTAGTTTTTATACGAAGATATTTCCTTTTCTACCATTGACCTCAATGCGTCTGAAATCTCCACTTGCAAATTCCACAAAAAGAGTGGTTCAAATGTGCTCTGTCTAAAGGAAGGGTCAACTCTGTCAGTGGAATACACACAATACAAAGAAGTTACTGAGAATTCTTCTGTCTAGCCTTACATGAATAAAACCCGTTTCCAACGAAGACCTAAAAGAGGTCAAAATATCCACTTGCAGACATTACAAACAGAGTGTTTCCAAGCTGCTGTACGAAAAGATAAGTGAAACTCTGTGAGTTGAACGCACACATCACAAAGCAGTTTCTGAGAATGACTACCTAGTTTTTATACGAAGATATTTCCTTTTCTGCCTTTGGCCTCAAAGCGCTTGAAATCTCCACTTGCAAATTCCACAAAAAGAGTGTTTCAAATCTGCTCTGTCTAAAAGAAGATTCAACTGTGTGAGTTGAACACACACAACACAAACAAGTTATTGAGAATTCTTTTGTCTAGCATTATATGGAGAAACCCCGTTTCAAAATAAGGCGCCAAAGAGGTCCGAATATCCACTTGCGGACATTACAAACACACTGTTTCCAAACTGCTCTATGAAAAGAAAGTTTAAACTCCGAGAGTTGAACGCACACATCAGAAAGTAGTTTCTGAGAATGATTCTGTGTACTTTTTATACGAAGATATTTCATTTTCTACCACTGACCACAAAGCGCTTGAAATCTCCACGTGCAACTTCCACAAAAAGAGTGTTTCAAATCTGCTCTATCTAAAGGAACGTTCTATTCTGTGAGTTGATTACACACAACACAAGGAAGTTACTGAGAATTCTTCTTTCTAGCATTATATGAAGAAATCCCGTTTCCAACGAAGGCCTCAAATAGGTCCGAATATCGACTTACAGATTTGACAAACTGTGTGTTTCCAAACGGCTCTATGAAAACAAAGGTTAAACTCTGTGAGTTGAATGCACACATCACAAAGCAGTTTCTGAAAATGATTCTGTCTTGTTTTTATGCGAAGATATTTCCTTTTCTACCATTGACGTTAAAGCGGCTGAAATCTCCACTTGCAAATTCCACAAAAAGAGTGTTTCAAATCTGCTCTCTCTAAAGGAAGGTTCATCTGTTGTCAGTTGAATACACACAACAGGAAGAAGTTACTGGGAAATCTTCTGTCTAGCATTATATGAAGAAACCCCATTCCCAATGAAGGCCTCAAAGAGTTCCCAATATCCACTTGCAGACTTTACAAACATAGCGTTTCCCAACTGCTCTATGAAAAGGAAGGTTAAACTCTGTTAGGTGAACGCACACATCAAAACGCAGTTTCTGGGAATGATTCTGTCTACTTTTTATTCGAAGATATATCCTTTTCTACCGTTGGCCTCAAAGCGCTTGAAATCCCCACTTGCAAATTCCCCAAAAAGTGTCTTTCAAATCTGCTCTATCTAAAAGAAGGTTCAACTCTGTGAGCTGAATACACACAACACAAGGAAGTTACTGAGAATTCTTCTGTGTAGCCTTAAATGAAGAAATACCATTTCCAAAGAACGCCTCATGGCGGTCCAAATATCCACATGCAGACTTTTCAAACAGAGTGTTTCCCAACTGCTCTATGAAAAGAAAGGATAAACTCTGTGAGTTAAACATACACATCACTACACAGTTTCTGGGAATGAGTTTGTCTAGTTTTTATGTGAAGATTTTTCCTTTTCTACCATTGGCCCCGAAGCGCTTGAAATCTCCAATTGGAAATTCCACAAAAAGTGTGTTTCAAATCTGCTCTATCTAAAAGAAGGTTCAACTCTGTGAGTTGAATACACACAATACAAAGAAGTTACGAAGAATTCCTCTGTCTAGCATTATATGAAGAAATCCCTTTTCCAAAGAAGGCCTCATAGAGGTCCGAATATCCACTTGCAGTCTTTACAAACAGAGTGTTTCCTAAGTGCTCTATGAAAAGAAAGGTAGAACTCTTTGAATTGAACGCATACATCACAAAGCAGTTTCTGAGAATCATTCTGTCAAGTTTTTATACGAAGAAATGTCCTTTTCTACCATTGACCTCAAAGCGTCTGAAATCTCCACTTGCAAATTCCACAAAAAGAGTGTTTGAAATCTGCTCTACCTAAAAGAAGGGTCAACTCTGTCAGTTGAATACACACAACAGAAAGAAGTTACTGAGAAATCTTCTGTCTAGCCTTACATGAATAAAACCCGTTTCCAACGAAGGCCTCAAAGATGTCCAAATATCCACGTGCAGACTTTACAAACAGAGTGTTTCCAAACTGCTGTATGAAAAGGTAGGTTAAACTCCGTGAGTCGAACGCACACATGATTAAGCAGTTTCTGAGAATGATTCTGACTTGTTTTTATACGAAGATATTTCCTCTTCTGCCTTTGGCCTCAAAGCGCTTGAAATTTCCTATTGCAAATTCCACAAAAAGAGTGTTTCAAGTCTGCTCTGTCTAAAGGAACGTTCAACTCTGTGATTTGAATACACACAACACAGAGAAGTTACTGAGAATTCCTCTGTCTAGCATTATATGAAGAAATCCCTTTTCCAATGAAGGCCTCAAAGAGATCGGAATATCCACTTTCAGACTGTTCAAACAGAGTATTCCCTAACTGCTCTATGAAAAGAAAGGTAAAACTCTTTGAACTGAACACACACATCACGAAGCAGGTTCTGAGAATCATTCCGTCTAGTTTTTCTACGAAGGTATTTCCTTTTCTACCATTGTCCTCAATGCGTCTGAAATCTCCACATGCAAATTCCAGAAAAAGAGTGGGTCAAATGTGCTCTGTCTAAAGGAAGGGTCAACTCTGTCAGTGGAATGCACACAATACAAAGAAGTTACTGAGAATTCTTCTGTCTAGCCTTACATGAATAAAACCCGTTTCCAACGAAGACCTCAAAGAGATCAAAATATCCACTTGCAGACATGAGAAACAGAGTGTTTCCAAACTGCTGTATGAAAAGTTAAGTTAAACTCTGTGAGTTCAACGCACACACCACAAAGCAGTTTCTGAGAATGATCTATCTAGTTTTTATACGAAGATATTTCCTTTTCTGCCTTTGGCCTCAAAGCGCTTGAAATCTCCACTTGCAAATTCCACAAAAAGAGTGTTTCAAATCTGCTCTGTCTAAAGGAAGGTTCAACTCTGTGAGTTGAACACACACAACACAAACAAGTTACTGAGAATTCTTTCTGTCTAGCATTATATGGAGAAACCCCGTTTCAAATTAAGGCGCCAAAGAGGTCCGAATATCCACTTGCAGACTTTACAAACACACTGTTTCCAAACTGCTCTATGAAAAGAAAGTTTAAACTCCGAGAGTTGAACGCACACATCAGAAAGTAGTTTCTGAGAATGATTCTGTGTACTTTTTATACGAAGATATTTCATTTTCTACCACTGGCCACAAAGCGCTTGAAATCTCCACGTGAAACTTCCACAAAAAGAGTGTTTCAAATCTGCTCTCTCGAAAGGAAGGTTCATCTGTTGTCAGTTGAATACACACAACAGGAAGAAGTTACTGGGAAATCTTCTTTCTAGCATTATATGAAGAAATCCCGTTTCCAACGAAGGCCTCAAATAGGTCCGAATATCGACTTACAGATTTGACAAACTGTGTGTTTCCAAACGGCTCTATGAAAACAAAGGTTAAACTCTGTGAGTTGAATGCACACATCACAAAGCAGTTTCTGAAAATGATTCTGTCTTGTTTTTATGCGAAGATATTTCCTTTTCTACCATTGACGTTAAAGCGGCTGAAATCTCCACTTGCAACTTCCACAAAAAGAGTGTTTCAAATATGCTCTCTCTAAAGGAAGGTTCATCTGTTGTCAGTTGAATACACACAACAGGAAGAAGTTACTGGGAAATCTTCTGTCTAGCATTATATGAAGAAACCCCATTCCCAATGAAGGCCTCAAAGAGTTCCCAATATCCACTTGCAGACTTTACAAACATAGCGTTTCCCAACTGCTCTATGAAAAGGAAGGTTAAACTCTGTTAGGTGAACGCACACATCAAAACGCAGTTTCTGGGAATGATTCTGTCTACTTTTTATTCGAAGATATTTCCTTTTCTACCGTTGGCCTCAAAGCGCTTGAAATCCCCACTTGCAAATTCCCCAAAAAGTGTCTTTCAAATCTGCTCTATCTAAAAGAAGGTTCAACTCTGTGAGCTGAAAACACACAACACAAGGAAGTTACTGAGACTTCTTCTGTGTAGCCTTAAATGAAGAAATACCATTTCCAAAGAACGCCTCATGGCGGTCCAAATATCCACATGCAGACTTTTCAAACAGAGTGTTTCCCAACTGCTCTATGAAAAGAAAGGATAAACTCTGTGAGTTAAACATACACATCACTACACAGTTTCTGGGAATGATTTTGTCTAGTTTTTATGTGAAGATTTTTCCTTTTCTACCATTGGCCCCGAAGCGCTTGAAATCTCCAATTGGAAATTCCACAAAAAGTGTGTTTCAAATCTGCTCTATCTAAAAGAAGGTTCAACTCTGTGAGTTGAATACACACAATACAAAGAAGTTACGAAGAATTCCTCTGTCTAGCATTATATGAAGAAATCCCTTTTCCAAAGAAGGCCTCATAGAGGTCCGAATATCCACTTGCAGTCTTTACAAACAGAGTGTTTCCTAAGTGCTCTATGAAAAGAAAGGTAGAACTCTTTGAATTGAACGCATACATCACAAAGCAGTTTCTGAGAATCATTCTGTCAAGTTTTTATACGAAGAAATTTCCTTTTCTACCATTGACCTCAAAGCGTCTGAAATCTGCACTTGCAAATTCCACAAAAAGAGTGTGTCAAATCTGCTCTACCTAAAAGAAGGGTCAACTCTGTCAGTTGAATACACACAACACAAAGAAGTTACTGAGAAATCTTCTGTCTAGCCTTACATGAATAAAACCCGTTTCCAACGAAGGCCTCAAAGATGTCCAAATATCCACGTGCAGACTTTACAAACAGAGTGTTTCCAAACTGCTGTATGAAAAGGTAGGTTAAACTCCGTGATTCGAACGCACACATTATTAAGCAGTTTCTGAGAATGATTCTGACTTGTTTTTATACGAAGATATTTCCTCTTCTGCCTTTGGCCTCAAAGCGCTTGAAATTTCCTATTGCAAATTCCACAAAAAAGAGTGTTTCAAGTCTGCTCTGTCTAAAGGAACGTTCAACTCTGTGATTTGAATACACACAACACAGAGAAGTTACTGAGAATTCCTCTGTCTAGCATTATATGAAGAAATCCCTTTTCCAACGAAGGCCTCAAAGAGATCGGAATATCCACTTTCAGACTGTTCAAACAGAGTGTTTCCTAACTGCTCTATGAAAAGAAAGGTAAAACTCTTTGAACTGAACACACACATCACGAAGCAGGTTCTGAGAATCATTCTGTACAGTTTTTATACGAAGATATTTCCTTTTCTACCATTGACCTCAATGCGTCTGAAATCTCCACTTGCAAATTCCACAAAAAGAGTGGTTCAAATGTGCTCTGTCTAAAGGAAGGGTCAACTCTGTCAGTGGAATACACACAATACAAAGAAGTTACTGAGAATTCTTCTGTCTAGCCTTACATGAATAAAACCCGTTTCCAAAGAAGACCTCAAAGAGGTCAAAATATCCACATGCAGACATTACAAACAGAGTGTTTCCAAACTGCTGTACGAAAAGATAAGTGAAACTCTGTGAGTTGAACGCACACATCACAAAGCAGTTTCTGAGAATGATCTATCTAGTTTTTATACGAAGATATTTCCTTTTCTGCCTTTGGCCTCAAAGCGCTTGAAATCTCCACTTGCAAATTCCACAAAAAGAGTGTTTCAAATCTGCTCTGTCTAAAAGAAGATTCAACTCTGTGAGTTGAACACACACAACACAAACAAGTTATTGAGAATTCTTTTGTCTAGCATTATATGGAGAAACCCCGTTTCAAAATAAGGCGCCAAAGAGGTCCGAATATCCACTTGCGGACTTTACAAAAACACTGTTTCCAAACTGCTCTATGAAAAGAAAGTTTAAACTCCGAGAGTTGAACGCACACATCAGAAAGTAGTTTCTGAGAATGATTCTGTGTACTTTTTATACGAAGATATTTCATTTTCTACCACTGGTCACAAAGCGCTTGAAATCTCCACGTGCAACTTCCACAAAAAGAGTGTTTCAAATCTGCTCTATCTAAAGGAACGTTCTATTCTGTGTGTTGATTACACACAACACAAGGAAAGTTACTGAGAATTCTTCTTTCTAGCATTATATGAAGAAATCCCGTTTCCAACGAAGGCCTCAAATAGGTCCGAATATCGACTTACAGATTTGACAAACTGTGTGTTTCCAAACGGCTCTATGAAAACAAAGGTTAAACTCTGTGAGTTGAATGCACACATCACAAAGCAGTTTCTGAAAATGATTCTGTCTTGCTTTTATGCGAAGATATTTCCTTTTCTACCATTGACGTTAAAGCGGCTGAAATCTCCACTTGCAAATTCCACAAAAAGAGTGTTTCAAATCTGCTCTCTCTAAAGGAAGGTTCATCTGTTGTCAGTTGAATACACACAACAGGAAGAAGTTACTGGGAAATCTTCTGTCTAGCATTATATGAAGAAACCCCATTCCCAATGAAGGCCTCAAAGAGTTCCCAATATCCACTTGCAGACTTTACAAACATAGCGTTTCCCAACTGCTCTATGAAAAGGAAGGTTAAACTCTGTTAGGTGAACGCACACATCAAAACGCAGTTTCTGGGAATGATTCTGTCTACTTTTTATTCGAAGATATTTCCTTTTCTACCGTTGGCCCCAAAGCGCTTGAAATCCCCACTTGCAAATTCCCCAAAAAGTGTCTTTCAAATCTGCTCTATCTAAAAGAAGGTTCAACTCTGTGAGCTGAATACACACAACACAAGGAAGTTACTGAGAATTCTTCTGTGTAGCCTTAAATGAAGAAATACCATTTCCAAAGAACGCCTCATGGCGGTCCAAATATCCACATGCAGACTTTTCAAACAGAGTGTTTCCCAACTGCTCTATGAAAAGAAAGGATAAACTCTGTGAGTTAAACATCCACATCACTACACAGTTTCTGGGAATGATTTTGTCTAGTTTTTATGTGAAGATTTTACCTTTTCTACCATTGGCCCCGAAGCACTTGAAATCTCCAATTGGAAATTCCACAGAAAGTGTGTTTCAAATCTGCTCTATCTAAAAGAAGGTTCAACTCTGTGAGTTGAATACACACAATACAAAGAAGTTACGAAGAATTCCTCTGTCTAGCATTATATGAAGAAATCCCTTTTCCAAAGAAGTCCTCATAGAGGTCCGAATATCCACTTGCAGTCTTTACAAACAGAGTGTTTCCTAAGTGCTCTATGAAAAGAAAGGTAAAACTCTTTGAATTGAACGCATACATCACGAAGCAGTTTCTGAGAATCATTCTGTCAAGTTTTTATACGAAGAAATTTCCTTTTCTACCATTGACCTCAAAGCGTCTGAAATCTCCACTTGCAAATTCCACAAAAAGAGTGTTTCAAATCTGCTCTGTCTAAAAGAAGGGTCAACTCTGTCAGTTGAATACACACAACACAAAGAAGTTACTGAGAAATCTTCTGTCTAGCCTTACATGAATAAAACCCGTTTCCAACGAAGGCCTCAAAGATGTCCAAATATCTACTTGCAGACTTTACAAACAGAGTGTTTGCAAACTGCTGTATGAAAAGGTAGGTTAAACTCCGTGAGTTGAACGCACACATGATAAAGCAGTTTCTGAGAATGATTCTGACTTGTTTTTATACGAAGATATTTCCTCTTCTGCCTTTGGCCTCAAATCGCTTGAAATTTCCTATTGCAAATTCCACAAAAAGAGTGTTTCAAGTCTGCTCTGTCTAAAGGAACGTTCAACTCTGTGATTTGAATACACACAACACAGAGAAGTTACTGAGAATTCCTCTGTCTAGCATTATATGAAGAAATCCCTTTTCCAACGAAGGCCTCAAAGAGATCGGAATATCAACTTTCAGACTGTTCAAACAGAGTGTTTCCTAACTGCTCTATGAAAAGAAAGGTAAAACTCTTTGAACTGAACACACACATCACGAAACAGGTTCTGAGAATCATTCTGTCTAGTTTTTATATGAAGATATTTCCTTTTCTACCATTGACCTCAATGCGTCTGAAATCTCCACTTGCAAATTCCACAAAAAGAGTGGTTCAAATGTGCTCTGTCTAAAGGAAGGGTCAACTCTGTCAGTGGAATACACACAATACAAAGAAGTTACTGAGAATTCTTCTGTCTAGCCTTACATGAATAAAACCCGTTTCCAACGAAGACCTCAAAGAGGTCAAAATATCCACTTGCAGACATTACAAACAGAGTGTTTCCAAACTGCTGTACGAAAAGTTAAGTGAAACTCTGTGAGTTGAACGCACACATCACAAAGCAGTTTCTGAGAATGATTCTATCTAGTTTTTATACGAAGATATTTCCTTTTCTGCCTTTGGCCTCAAAGCGCTTGAAATCTCCACTTGCAAATTCCACAAAAAGAGTGTTTCAAATCTGCTCTGTCTAAAGGAAGGTTCAACTCTGTGAGTTGAACACACACAACACATACAAGTTACCGAGAATTCTTCTGTGTAGCATTATATGGAGAAACCCCGTTTCAAAATAAGGCGCCAAAGAGGTCCGAATATCCACTTGCAGACTTTACAAACACACTGTTTCCAAACTGCTCTATGAAAAGAAAGTTTAAACTCCGAGAGTTGAACGCACACATCAGAAAGTAGTTTCTGAGAATGATTCTGTGTACTTTTTATACGAAGATATTTCATTTTCTACCACTGGCCACAAAGCGCTTGAAATCTCCACGTGCAACTTCCACAAAAAGAGTGTTTCAAATCTGCTCTATCTAAAGGAACGTTCTATTCTGTGAGTTGATTACACACAACACTAGGAAGTTACTGAGAATTCTTCTTTCTAGCATTATATGAAGAAATCCCGTTTCCAACGAAGGCCTCAAATAGGTCCGAATATCGACTTACAGATTTGACAAACTGTGTGTTTCCAAACGGCTCTAGGAAAACAAAGGTTAAACTCTGTGAGTTGAATGCACACATCACAAAGCAGTTTCTGAAAATGATTCTGTCTTGTTTTTATGCGAAGATATTTCCTTTTCTACCATTGACGTTAAAGCGGCTGAAATCTCCACTTGCAAATTCCACAAAAAGAGTGTTTCAAATCTGCTCTCTCTAAAGGAAGGTTCATCTGTTGTCAGTTGAATACACACAACAGGAAGAAGTTACTGGGAAATCTTCTGTCTAGCATTATATGAAGAAACCCCATTCCCAATGAAGGCCTCAAAGAGTTCCCAATATCCACTTGCAGACTTTACAAACATAGCGTTTCCCAACTGCTCTATGAAAAGGAAGGTTAAACTCTGTTAGGTGAACGCACACATCAAAACGCAGTTTCTGGGAATGATTCTGTCTACTTTTTATTCGAAGATATTTCCTTTTCTACCGTTGGCCTCAAAGCGCTTGAAATCCCCACTTGCAAATTCCCCAAAAAGTGTCTTTCAAATCTGCTCTATCTAAAAGAAGGTTCAACTCTGTGAGCTGAATACACACAACACAAGGAAGTTACTGAGAATTCTTCTGTGTAGCCTTAAATGAAGAAATACCATTTCCAAAGAACGCCTCATGGCGGTCCAAATATCCACATGCAGACTTTTCAAACAGAGTGTTTCCCAACTGCTCTATGAAAAGAAAGGATAAACTCTGTGAGTTAAACATACACATCACTACACAGTTTCTGGGAATGATTTTGTCTAGTTTTTATGTGAAGATTTTTCCTTTTCTACCATTGGCCCCAAAGCGCTTGAAATCTCCAATTGGGAATTCCACAAAAAGTGTGTTTCAAATCTACTCTATCTAAAAGAAGGTTCAACTCTGTGAGTTGAATACACACAATACAAAGAAGTTACTAAGAATTCCTCTGTCTAGGATTATATGAAGAAATCCCTTTTCCAAAGAAGGCCTCATAGAGGTCCGAATATCCACTTGCAGTCTTTACAAACAGAGTGTTTCCTAAGTGCTCTATGAAAAGAAAGGTAAAACTCTTTGAATTGAACGCATACATCACGAAGCAGTTTCTGAGAATCATTCTGTCAAGTTTTTATACGAAGAAATGTCCTTTTCTACCATTGACCTCAAAGCGTCTGAAATCTCCACTTGCAAATTCCACAAAAAGAGTGTCTCAAATCTGCTCTACCTAAAAGAAGGGTCAACTCTGTCAGTTGAATACACACAACACAAAGAAGTTACTGAGAAATCTTCTGTCTAGCCTTACATGAATAAAACCCGTTTCCAACGAAGGCCTCAAAGATGTCCAAATATCCACGTGCAGACTTTACAAACAGAGTGTTTCCAAACTGCTGTATGAAAAGGTAGGTTAAACTCCGTGAGTCGAACGCACACATGATTAAGCAGTTTCTGAGAATGATTCTGACTTGTTTTTATACGAAGATATTTCCTCTTCTGCCTTTGGCCTCAAAGCGCTTGAAATTTCCTATTGCAAATTCCACAAAAAGAGTGTTTCAAGTCTGCTCTGTCTAAAGGAACGTTCAACTCTGTGATTTGAATACACACAACACAGAGAAGTTACTGAGAATTCCTCTGTCTAGCATTATATGAAGAAATCCCTTTTCCAACGAAGGCCTCAAAGAGATCGGAATATCCACTTTCAGACTGTTCAAACAGAGTGTTTCCTAACTGCTCTATGAAAAGAAAGGTAAAACTCTTTGAACTGAACACACACATCACGAAGCAGGTTCTGAGAATCATTCTGTCTAGTTTTTATACAAAGATATTTCCTTTTCCACCGTTGACCTCAATGCGTCTGAAATCTCCACTTGCAAATTCCACAAAAAGAGTGGTTCAAATGTGCTCTGTCTAAAGGAAGGGTCAACTCTGTCAGTGGAATACACACAATACAAAGAAGTTACTGAGAATTCTTCTGTCTAGCCTTACATGAATAAAACCCGTTTCCAACGAAGACCTCAAAGAGGTCAAAATATCCACTTGCAGACATTACAAACAGAGTGTTTCCAAACTGCTGTACGAAAAGATAAGTGAAACTCTGTGAGTTGAACGCACACATCACAAAGCAGTTTCTGAGAATGACTATCTAGTTTTTATACGAAGATATTTCCTTTTCTGCCTTTGGCCTCAAAGCGCTTGAAATCTCCACTTGCAAATTCCACAAAAAGAGTGTTTCAAATCTGCTCTGTCTAAAGGAAGGTTCAACTCTGTGAGTTGAACACACACAACACAAACAAGTTACTGAGAATTCTTCTGTCTAGCATTATATGGAGAAACCCCGTTTCAAAATAAGGCGCCAAAGAGGTCCGAATATCCACTTGCAGACTTTACAAACACACTGTTTCCAAACTGCTCTATGAAAAGAAAGTTTAAACTCCGAGAGTTGAACGCACACATCAGAAAGTAGTTTCTGAGAATGATTCTGTGTACTTTTTATACGAAGATATTTCATTTTCTACCACTGGTCACAAAGCGCTTGAAATCTCCACGTGCAACTTCCACAAAAAGAGTGTTTCAAATCTGCTCTATCTAAAGGAACGTTCTATTCCTGTGTGTTGATTACACACAACACAAGGAAGTTACTGAGAATTCTTCTTTCTAGCATTATATGAAGAAATCCCGTTTCCAACGAAGGCCTCAAATAGGTCCGAATATCGACTTACAGATTTGACAAACTGTGTGTTTCCAAACGGCTCTATGAAAACAAAGGTTAAACTCTGTGAGTTGAATGCACACATCACAAAGCAGTTTCTGAAAATGATTCTGTCTTGTTTTTATGCGAAGATATTTCCTTTTCTACCATTGACGTTAAAGCGGCTGAAATCTCCACTTGCAAATTCCACAAAAAGAGTGTTTCAAATCTGCTCTCTCTAAAGGAAGGTTCATCTGTTGTCAGTTGAATACACACAACAGGAAGAAGTTACTGGGAAATCTTCTGTCTAGCATTATATGAAGAAACCCCATTCCCAATGAAGGCCTCAAAGAGTTCCCAATATCCACTTGCAGACTTTACAAACATAGCGTTTCCCAACTGCTCTATGAAAAGGAAGGTTAAACTCTGTTAGGTGAACGCACACATCAAAACGCAGTTTCTGGGAATGATTCTGTCTACTTTTTATTCGAAGATATTTCCTTTTCTACCGTTGGCCTCAAAGCGCTTGAAATCCCCACTTGCAAATTCCCCAAAAAGTGTCTTTCAAATCTGCTCTATCTAAAAGAAGGTTCAACTCTGTGAGCTGAATACACACAACACGAGGAAGTTACTGAGAATTCTTCTGTGTAGCCTTAAATGAAGAAATACCATTTCCAAAGAACGCCTCATGGCGGTCCAAATATCCACATGCAGACTTTTCAAACAGAGTGTTTCCCTACTGCTCTATGAAAAGAAAGGATAAACTCTGTGAGTTAAACATACACATCACTACACAGTTTCTGGGAATGATTTTGTCTAGTTTTTATGTGAAGATTTTTCCTTTTCTACCATTGGCCCCGAAGCGCTTGAAATCTCCAATTGGAAATTCCACAGAAAGTGTGTTTCAAATCTGCTCTATCTAAAAGAAGGTTCAACTCTGTGAGTTGAATACACACAATACAAAGAAGTTACGAAGAATTCCTCTGTCTAGCATTATATGAAGAAAACCCTTTTCCAAAGAAGGCGTCATAGAGGTCCGAATATCCACTTGCAGTCTTTACAAACAGAGTGTTTCCTAAGTGCTCTATGAAAAGAAAGGTAGAACTCTTTGAATTGAACGCATACATCACAAAGCAGTTTCTGAGAATCATTCTGTCAAGTTTTTATACGAAGAAATGTCCTTTTCTACCATTGACCTCAAAGCGTCTGAAATCTGCACTTGCAAATTCCACAAAAAGAGTGTGTCAAATCTGCTCTACCTAAAAGAAGGGTCAACTCTGTCAGTTGAATACACACAACACAAACAAGTTACTGAGAAATCTTCTGTCTAGCCTTACATGAATAAAACCCGTTTCCAATGAAGGCCTCAAAGATGTCCAAATATCCACGTGCAGACTTTACAAACAGAGTGTTTCCAAACTGCTGTATGAAAAGGTAGGTTAAACTCCGTGAGTCGAACGCACACATGATTAAGCAGTTTCTGAGAATGATTCTGACTTGTTTTTATACGAAGATGTTTCCTCTTCTGCCTTTGGCCTCAAAGCGCTTGAAATTTCCAATTGCAAATTCCACAAAAAGAGTGTTTCAAGTCTGCTCTGTCTAAAGGAACGTTCAACTCTGTGACTTGAGTACACACAACACAAAGAAGTTACTGAGAATTCCTCTGTCTAGCATTATATGAAGAAATCCCTTTTCCAACGAAGGCCTCAAAGAGATCGGGATATCAACTTTCAGACTGTTCAAACAGAGTGTTTCCTAACTGCTCTATGAAAAGAAAGGTAAAACTCTTTGAACTGAACACACACATCACGAAGCAGTTTCTGAGAATCATTCTGTCTAGTTTTTATACGAAGATATTTCCTTTTCTACCATTGACCTCAATGCGTCTGAAATCTCCACTTGCAAATTCCACAAAAAGAGTGGTTCAAATGTGCTCTGTCTAAAGGAAGGGTCAACTCTGTCAGTGGAATACACACAATACAAAGAAGTTACTGAGAATTCTTCTGTCTAGCCTTACATGAATAAAACCCGTTTCCAATGAAGACCTCAAAGAGGTCAAAATATCCACTTGCAGACATTACAAACAGAGTGTTTCCAAACTGCTGTACGAAAAGATAAGTGAAACTCTGTGAGTTGAACGCACACATCACAAACCAGTTTCTGAGAATGATCTATCTAGTTTTTATACGAAGATATTTCCTTTTCTGCCTTTGGCCTCAAAGCGCTTGAAATCTCCACTTGCAAATTCCACAAAAAGAGTGTTTCAAATCTGCTCTGTCTAAAGGAAGGTTCAACTCTGTGAGTTGAACACACACAACACAAACAAGTTACTGAGAATTCTTCTGTCTAGCATTATATGGAGAAACCCCGTTTCAAAATAAGGCGCTAAAGAGGTCCGAATATCCACTTGCAGACTTTACAAACACACTGTTTCCAAACTGCTCTATGAAAAGAAAGTTTAAACTCCGAGAGTTGAACGCACACATCAGAAAGTAGTTTCTGAGAATGATTCTGTGTACTTTTTATACGAAGATATTTCATTTTCTACCACTGGCCACAAAGCGCTTGAAATCTCCACGTGCAACTTCCACAAAAAGAGTGTTTCAAATCTGCTCTATCTAAAGGAACGTTCTATTCTGTGAGTTGATTACACACAACACTAGGAAGTTACTGAGAATTCTTCTTTCTAGCATTATATGAAGAAATCCCGTTTCCAACGAAGGCCTCAAATAGGTCCGAATATCGACTTACAGATTTGACAAACTGTGTGTTTCCAAACGGCTCTAGGAAAACAAAGGTTAAACTCTGTGAGTTGAATGCACACATCACAAAGCAGTTTCTGAAAATGATTCTGTCTTGCTTTTATGCGAAGATATTTCCTTTTCTACCATTGACGTTAAAGCGGCTGAAATCTCCACTTGCAAATTCCACAAAAAGAGTGTTTCAAATCTGCTCTCTCTAAAGGAAGGTTCATCTGTTGTCAGTTGAATACACACAACAGGAAGAAGTTACTGGGAAATCTTCTGTCTAGCATTATATGAAGAAACCCCATTCCCAATGAAGGCCTCAAAGAGTTCCCAATATCCACTTGCAGACTTTACAAACATAGCGTTTCCCAACTGCTCTATGAAAAGGAAGGTTAAACTCTGTTAGGTGAACGCACACATCAAAACGCAGTTTCTGGGAATGATTCTGTCTACTTTTTATTCGAAGATATTTCCTTTTCTACCGTTGGCCTCAAAGCGCTTGAAATCCCCACTTGCAAATTCCCCAAAAAGTGTCTTTCAAATCTGCTCTATCTAAAAGAAGGTTCAACTCTGTGAGCTGAATACACACAACACGAGGAAGTTACTGAGAATTCTTCTGTGTAGCCTTAAATGAAGAAATACCATTTCCAAAGAACGCCTCATGGCGGTCCAAATATCCACATGCAGACTTTTCAAACAGAGTGTTTCCCAACTGCTCTATGAAAAGAAAGGATAAACTCTGTGAGTTAAACATACACATCACTACACAGTTTCTGGGAATGATTTTGTCTAGTTTTTATGTGAAGATTTTTCCTTTTCTACCATTGGCCCCAAAGCGCTTGAAATCTCCGATTGGAAATTCCACAAAAAGTGTGTTTCAAATCTGCTCTATCTAAAAGAAGGTTCAACTCTGTGAGTTGAATACACACAATACAAAGAAGTTACGAAGAATTCCTCTGTCTAGCATTATATGAAGAAATCCCTTTTCCAAAGAAGGCCTCATAGAGGTCCGAATATCCACTTACAGTCTTTACAAACAGAGTGTTTCCTAAGTGCTCTATGAAAAGAAAGGTAGAACTCTTTGAATTGAACGCATACATCACAAAGCAGTTTCTGAGAATCATTCTGTCAGGTTTTTATACGAAGAAATGTCCTTTTCTACCATTGACCTCAAAGCGTCTGAAATCTCCACTTGCAAATTCCACAAAAAGAGTGTCTCAAATCTGCTCTACCTAAAAGAAGGGTCAACTCTGTCAGTTGAATACACACAACACAAACAAGTTACTGAGAAATCTTCTGTCTAGCCTTACATGAATAAAACCCGTTTCCAACGAAGGCCCCAAAGATGTCCAAATATCCACTTGCAGACTTTACAAACAGAGTGTTTCCAAACTGCTGTATGAAAAGGTAGGTTAAACTCCGTGAGTTGAACGCACACATGATAAAGCAGTTTCTTTGAATGATTCTGACTTGTTTTTATACGAAGAATATTTCCTCTTCTGCCTTTGGCCTCAAAGCGCTTGAAATTTGCTATTGCAAATTCCACAAAAAGAGTGTTTCAAGTCTGCTCTGTCTAAAGGAACGTTCAACTCTGTGATTTGAATACACACAACACAGAGAAGTTACTGAGAATTCGTCTGTCTAGCATTATATGAAGAAATCCCTTTTCCAACAAAGGCCTCAAAGAGATCGGAATATCCACTTTCAGACTGTTCAAACAGAGTGTTTCCTAACTGCTCTATGAAAAGAAAGGTAAAACTCTTTGAACTGAACACACACATCACGAAGCAGGTTCTGAGAATCATTCTGTCTAGTTTTTATACGAAGATATTTCCTTTTCTACCATTGACCTCAATGCGTCTGAAATCTCCACTTGCAAATTCCACAAAAAGAGTGGTTCAAATGTGCTCTGTCTAAAGAAAGGGTCAACTCTGTCAGTGGAATACACACAATACAAAGAAGTTACTGAGAATTCTTCTGTCTAGCCTTACATGAATAAAACCCGTTTCCAACGAAGACCTCAAAGAGGTCAAAATATCCACTTGCAGACATTACAAACAGAGTGTTTGCAAACAGCTGTACGAAAAGAGAAGTGAAACTCTGTGAGTTGAACGCACACATCACAAAGCAGTTTCTGAGAATGATCTATCTAGTTTTTATACGAAGATATTTCCTTTTCTGCCTTTGGCCTCAAAGCGCTTGAAATCTCCACTTGCAAATTCCACAAAAAGAGTGTTTCAAATCTGCTCTGTCTAAAGGAAGGTTCAACTCTGTGAGTTGAACACACACAACACAAACAAGTTACTGAGAATTCTTTTGTCTAGCATTATATGGAGAAACCCCGTTTCAAAATAAGGCACCAAAGAGGTCCGAATATCCACTTGCGGACTTTACAAACACACTGTTTCCAAACTGCTCTATGAAAAGAAAGTTTAAACTCCGAGAGTTGAACGCACACATCAGAAAGTAGTTTCTGAGAATGATTCTGTGTACTTTTTATATGAAGATATTTCATTTTCTACCACTGGCCACAAAGCTCTTGAAATCTCCACGTGCAACTTCCACAAAAAGAGTGTTTCAAATCTGCTCTCTCTAAAGGAAGGTTCATCTGTTGTCAGTTGAATATACACAACAGGAAGAAGTTACTGGGAAATCTTCTTTCTAGCATTATATGAAGAAATCCCGTTTCCAACGAAGGCCTCAAATAGGTCCGAATATCGACTTACAGATTTGACAAACTGTGTGTTTCCAAACGGCTCTATGAAAACAAAGGTTAAACTCTGTGAGTTGAATGCACACATCACAAAGCAGTTTCTGAAAATGATTCTGTCTTGTTTTTATGCGAAGATATTTCCTTTTCTACCATTGACGTTAAAGCGGCTGAAATCTCCACTTGCAAATTCCACAAAAAGAGTGTTTCAAATCTGCTCTCTCTAAAGGAAGGTTCATCTGTTGTCAGTTGAATTCACACAACAGGAAGAAGTTACTGGGAAATCTTCTGTCTAGCATTATATGAAGAAACCCCATTCCCAATGAAGGCCTCAAAGAGTTCCCAATATCCACTTGCAGACTTTACAAACATAGCGTTTCCCAACTGCTCTATGAAAAGGAAGGTTAAACTCTGTTAGGTGAACGCACACATCAAAACGCAGTTTCTGGGAATGATTCTGTCTACTTTTTATTCGAAGATATTTCCTTTTCTACCGTTGGCCTCAAAGCGCTTGAAATCCCCACTTGCAAATTCCCCAAAAAGTGTCTTTCAAATCTGCTCTATCTAAAAGAAGGTTCAACTCTGTGAGCGGAATACACACAACACAAAGAAGTTACTGAGAATTCTTCTTTGTAGCCTTAAATGAAGAAATACCATTTCCAAAGAACGCCTCATGGCGGTCCAAATATCCACATGCAGACTTTTCAAACAGAGTGTTTCCCAACTGCTCTATGAAAAGAAAGGATAAACTCTGTGAGTTAAACATACACATCACTACACAGTTTCTGGGAATGAGTTTGTCTAGTTTTTATGTGAAGATTTTTCCTTTTCTACCATTGGCCCCGAAGCGCTTGAAATCTCCAATTGGAAATTCCACAAAAAGTGTGTTTCAAATCTGCTCTATCTAAAAGAAGGTTCAACTCTGTGAGTTGAATACACACAATACAAAGAAGTTACGAAGAATTCCTCTGTCTAGCATTATATGAAGAAATCCCTTTTCCAAAGAAGGCCTCATAGAGGTCCGAATATCCACTTGCAGTCTTTACAAACAGAGTGTTTCCTAAGTGCTCTATGAAAAGAAAGGTAGAACTCTTTGAATTGAACGCATACATCACAAAGCAGTTTCTGAGAATCATTCTGTCAAGTTTTTATACGAAGAAATGTCCTTTTCTACCATTGACCTCAAAGCGTCTGAAATCTCCACTTGCAAATTCCACAAAAAGAGTGTCTCAAATCTGCTCTACCTAAAAGAAGGGTCAACTCTGTCAGTTGAATACACACAACACAAAGAAGTTACTGAGAAATCTTCTGTCTAGCCTTACATGAGTAAAACCCGTTTCCAACGAAGGCCTCAAAGATATCCAAATATCCACGTGCAGACTTTACAAACAGAGTGTTTCCAAACTGCTGTATGAAAAGGTAGGTTAAACTCCGTGAGTTGAACGCACACATGATAAAGCAGTTTCTGAGAATGATTCTGACTTTTTTTTATACGAAGATATTTCCTCTTCTGCCTTTGGCCTCAAAGCACTTGAAATTTCCTATGGCACATTCCACAAAAAGAGTGTTTCAAGTCTGCTCTGTCTAAAGGAACGTTCAACTCTGTGATTTGAATACACACATCACAGAGAAGTTACTGAGAATTCCCCTGTCTAGCATTATATGAAGAAATCCCTTTTCCAACGAAGGCCTCAAAGATATCGGAATATCCACTTTCAGACTGTTCAAACAGAGTGTTCCCTAACTGCTCTATGAAAAGAAAGGTAAAACTCTTTGAACTGAACACACGCATCACGAAGCAGGTTCTGAGAATCATTCTGTCTAGTTTTTATACGAAGATATTTCCTTTTCTACCATTGACCTCAATGCGTCTGAAATCTCCACTTGCAAATTCCACAAAAAGAGTGGTACAAATGTGCTCTGTCTAAAGGAAGGGTCAACTCTGTCAGTGGAATACACACAATACAAAGAAGTTACTGAGAATTCTTCTGTCTAGCCTTACATGAATAAAACCCGTTTCCAACGAAGACCTCAAAGAGTTCAAAATATCCACTTGCAGACATTACAAACAGAGTGTTTCCAAACTGCTGTACGAAAAGATAAGTGAAACTCTGTGAGTTGAACGCACACATCACAAAGCAGTTTCTGAGAATGACTATCTAGTTTTTATACGAAGATATTTCCTTTTCTGCCTTTGGCCTCAAAGCGCTTGAAGTCTCCACTTGCAAATTCCACAAAAAGAGTGTTTCAAATCTGCTCTGTGTAAAGGAAGGTTCAACTCTGTGAGTTGAACACACACAACACAAACAAGTTACTGAGAATTCTTCTGTCTAGCATTATATGGAGAAACCCCGTTTCAAAATAAGGCGCCAAAGAGGTCCGAATATCCACTTGCAGACTTTACAAACACACTGTTTCCAAACTGCTCTATGAAAAGAAAGTTTAAACTCCGAGAGTTGAACGCACACATCAGAAAGTAGTTTCTGAGAATGATTCTGTGTACTTTTTATACGAAGATATTTCATTTTCTACCACTGGCCACAAAGCGCTTGAAATCTCCACGTGCAACTTCCACAAAAAGAGTGTTTCAAATCTGCTCTATCTAAAGGAACGTTCTATTCTGTGAGTTGATTACACACAACACAAGGAAGTTACTGAGAATTCTTCTTTCTAGCATTATATGAAGAAATCCCGTTTCCAACGAAGGCCTCAAATAGGTCCGAATATCGACTTACAGATTTGACAAACTGTGTGTTTCCAAACGGCTCTATGAAAACAAAGGTTAAACTCTGTGAGTTGAATGCACACATCACAAAGCAGTTTCTGAAAATGATTCTGTCTTGTTTTTATGCGAAGATATTTCCTTTTCTACCATTGACGTTAAAGCGGCTGAAATCTCCACTTGCAACTTCCACAAAAAGAGTGTTTCAAATATGCTCTCTCTAAAGGAAGGTTCATCTGTTGTCAGTTGAATACACACAACAGGAAGAAGTTACTGGGAAATCTTCTGTCTAGCATTATATGAAGAAACCCCATTCCCAATGAAGGCCTCAAAGAGTTCCCAATATCCACTTGCAGACTTTACAAACATAGCGTTTCCCAACTGCTCTATGAAAAGGAAGGTTAAACTCTGTTAGGTGAACGCACACATCAAAACGCAGTTTCTGGGAATGATTCTGTCTACTTTTTATTCGAAGATATTTCCTTTTCTACCGTTGGCCTCAAAGCGCTTGAAATCCCCACTTGCAAATTCCCCAAAAAGTGTCTTTCAAATCTGCTCTATCTAAAAGAAGGTTCAACTCTGTGAGCTGAATACACACAACACAAGGAAGTTACTGAGAATTCTTCTCTATAGCCTTAAATGAAGAAATACCATTTCCAAAGAACGCCTCATGGCGGTCCAAATATCCACATACAGACTTTTCAAACAGAGTGTTTCCCAACTGCTCTATGAAAAGAAAGGTTAAACTCTGTGAGTTAAACACACACATCAGTACACAGTTTCTGGGAATTATTTTGTCTAGTTTTTATGTGAAGATTTTACCTTTACTACCATTGGCCCCGAAGCACTTGAAATCTCCAATTGGAAATTCCACAGAAAGTGTGTTTCAAATCTGCTCTATCTAAAAGAAGGTTCAACTCTGTGAGTTGAATACACACAATACAAAGAAGTTACGAAGAATTCCTCTGTCTAGCATTATATGAAGAAATCCCTTTTCCAAAGAAGGCCTCATAGAGGTCCGAATATCCACTTGCAGTCTTTACAAACAGAGTGTTTCCTAAGTGCTCTATGAAAAGAAAGGTAGAACTCTTTGAATTGAACGCATACATCACAAAGCAGTTTCTGAGAATCATTCTGTCAAGTTTTTATACGAAGAAATGTCCTTTTCTACCATTGACCTCAAAGCGTCTGAAATCTCCACTTGCAAATTCCACAAAAAGAGTGTCTCAAATCTGCTCTACCTAAAAGAAGGGTCAACTCTGTCAGTTGAATACACACAACACAAAGAAGTTACTGAGAAATCTTCTGTCTAGCCTTACATGAATAAAACCCGTTTCCAACGAAGGCCTCAAAGATGTCCAAATATCCACGTGCAGACTTTACAAACAGAGTGTTTCCAAACTGCTGTATGAAAAGGTAGGTTAAACTCCGTGAGTCGAACGCACACATGATTAAGCAGTTTCTGAGAATGATTCTGACTTGTTTTTATACGAAGATATTTCCTCTTCTGCCTTTGGCCTCAAAGCGCTTGAAATTTGCTATTGCAAATTCCACAAAAAGAGTGTTTCAAGTCTGCTCTGTCTAAAGGAACGTTCAACTCTGTGATTTGAATACACACAACACAGAGAAGTTACTGAGAATTCGTCTGTCTAGCATTATATGGAGAAATCCCTTTTCCAACGAAGGCCTCAAAGAGATCGGAATATCCACTTTCAGACTGTTCAAACAGAGTGTTTCCTAACTGCTCTATGAAAAGAAAGGTAAAACTCTTTGAACTGAACACACACATCACGAAGCAGGTTCTGAGAATCATTCTGTCTAGTTTTTATACGAAGATATTTCCTTTTCTACCATTGACCTCAATGCGTCTGAAATCTCCACTTGCAAATTCCACAAAAAGAGTGGTTCAAATGTGCTCTGTCTAAAGGAAGGGTCAACTCTGTCAGTGGAATACACACAATACAAAGAAGTTACTGAGAATTCTTCTGTCTAGCCTTACATGAATAAAACCCGTTTCCAATGAAGACCTCAAAGAGGTCAAAATATCCACTTGCAGACATTACAAACAGAGTGTGTCCAAACTGCTGTACGAAAAGATAAGTGAAACTCTGTGAGTTGAACGCACACATCACAAACCAGTTTCTGAGAATGATTCTGTCTAGTTTTTATACGAAGATTATTCTTTTCTACCATTGGCCTCAAAGCGCTTGAAATCTCCACTTGCAAATTCCACAAAAAGAGTGTTTCAAATCTGCTCTGTCTAAAGGAAGGTTCAACTCTGTGAGTTGAATAAACACAACACAAAGAAGTTACTGAGAATTCTTCTGTCTAGCATTATATGGAGAAACCCCGTTTCAAAATAAGGCGCTAAAGAGGTCCGAATATCCACTTGCAGACTTTACAAACACACTGTTTCCAAACTGCTCTATGAAAAGAAAGTTTAAACTCCGAGAGTTGAACGCACACATCAGAAAGTAGTTTCTGAGAATGATTCTGTGTACTTTTTATACAAAGATATTTCATATTCTACCACTGGCCACAAAGCGCTTGAAATCTCCACGTGCAACTTCCACAAAAAGAGTGTTTCAAATCTGCTCTATCTAAAGGAAGTTTCCATTCTGTGAGTTGATAACACACAACACAAGGAAGTTACTGAGAATTCTTCTTTCTAGCATTATATGAAGAAATCCCGTTTCCAACGAAGGCCTCAAATAGGTCCGAATATCGACTTACAGATTTGACAAACTGTGTGTTTCCAAACGGCTCTAGGAAAACAAAGGTTAATCTCTGTGAGTTGAATGCACACATCACAAAGCAGTTTCTGAAAATGATTCTGTCTTGTTTTTATGCGAAGATATTTCCTTTTCTACCATTGACGTTAAAGCGGCTGAAATCTCCACTTGCAAATTCCACAAAAAGAGTGTTTCAAATCTGCTCTCTCTAAAGGAAGGTTCATCTCTTGTCAGTTGAATACACACAACAGGAAGAAGTTACTGGGAAATCTTCTGTCTAGCATTATATGAAGAAACCCCATTCCCAATGAAGGCCTCAAAGAGTTCCCAATATCCACTTGCAGACTTTACAAACATAGCGTTTCCCAACTGCACTATGAAAAGGAAGGTTAAACTCTGTTAGGTGAACGCACACATCAAAACGCAGTTTCTGGGAATGATTTTGTCTACTTTTTATTCGAAGATATTTCCTTTTCTACCGTTGGCCTCAAAGCGCTTGAAATCCCCACTTGCAAATTCCCCAAAAAGTGACTTTCAAATCTGCTCTATCTAAAAGAAGGTTCAACTCTGTGAGCTGAATACACACAACACAAGGAAGTTACTGAGAATTCTTCTTTGTAGCCTTAAATGAAGAAATACCATTTCCAAAGAACGCCTCATGGCGGTCCAAATATCCACATGCAGACTTTTCAAACAGAGTGTTTCCCAACTGCACTATGAAAAGAAAGGATAAACTCTGTGAGTTAAACATACACATCACTACACCGGTTCTGGGAATGAGTTTGTCTAGTTTTTATGTGAAGATTTTTCCTTTTCTACCATTGGCCCCGAAGCGCTTGAAATCTCCAATTGGAAATTCCACAAAAAGTGTGTTTCATATCTGCTCTATCTAAAAGAAGGTTCAACTCTGTGAGTTGAATACACACAATACAAAGAAGTTACGAAGAATTCCTCTGTCTAGCATTATATGAAGAAATCCCTTTTCCAAAGAAGGCCTCATAGAGGTCCGAATATCCACTTGCAGTCTTTACAAACAGAGTGTTTCCTAAGTGCTCTATGAAAAGAAAGGTAGAACTCTTTGAATTGAATGCATACATCACGAAGCAGTTTCTGAGAATCATTCTGTCAAGTTTTTATACGAAGAAATTTCCTTTTCTACCATTGACCTCAAAGCGTCTGAAATCTCCACTTGCAAATTCCACATAAAGAGTGGTTCAAATCTGCTCTACCTAAAAGAAGGGTCAACTCTGTCAGTTGAATACACACAACACAAAGAAGTTACTGAGAAATCTTCTGTCTAGCCTTACATGAATAAAACCCGTTTCCAACGAAGGCCTCAAAGATGTCCAAATATCCACGTGCAGACTTTACAAACAGAGTGTTTCCAAACTGCTGTATTAAAAGGTAGGTTAAACTCCGTGAGTCGAACGCACACATGATTAAGCAGTTTCTGAGAATGATTCTGACTTGTTTTTATACGAAGATATTTCCTCTTCTGCCTTTGGCCTCAAAGCGCTTGAAATTTCCTATTGCAAATTCCACAAAAAGAGTGTTTCAAGTCTGCTCTGTCTAAAGGAACGTTCAACTCTGTGATTTGAATACACACAACACAGAGAAGTTACTGAGAATTCCTCTGTCTAGCATTATATGAAGAAATCCCTTTTCCAACGAAGGCCTCAAAGAGATCGGAATATCCACTTTCAGACTTTTCAAACAGAGTGTTTCCTAACTGCTCTATGAAAAGAAAGGTAAAACTCTTTGAACTGAACACACACATGACGAAGCAGGTTCTGAGAATCATTCTGTACAGTTTTTATACGAAGATATTTCCTTTTCTACCATTGACCTCAATGCGTCTGAAATCTCCACTTGCAAATTCCACAAAAAGAGTGGTTCAAATGTGCTCTGTCTAAAGGAAGGGTCAACTCTGTCAGTGGAATACACACAATACAAAGAAGTTACTGAGAATTCTTCTGTCTAGCCTTACATGAATAAAACCCGTTTCCAAAGAAGACCTCAAAGAGGTCAAAATATCCACATGCAGACATTACAAACAGAGTGTTTCCAAACTGCTGTACGAAAAGATAAGTGAAACTCTGTGAGTTGAACGCACACATCACAAAGCAGTTTCTGAGAATGATCTATCTAGTTTTTATACGAAGATATTTCCTTTTCTGCCTTTGGCCTCAAAGCGCTTGAAATCTCCACTTGCAAATTCCACAAAAAGAGTGTTTCAAATCTGCTCTGTCTAAAAGAAGATTCAACTCTGTGAGTTGAACACACACAACACAAACAAGTTATTGAGAATTCTTTTGTCTAGCATTATATGGAGAAACCCCGTTTCAAAATAAGGCGCCAAAGAGGTCCGAATATCCACTTGCGGACTTTACAAACACACTGTTTCCAAACTGCTCTATGAAAAGAAAGTTTAAACTCCGAGAGTTGAACGCACACATCAGAAAGTAGTTTCTGAGAATGATTCTGTGTACTTTTTATATGAAGATATTTCATTTTCTACCACTGGCCACAAAGCGCTTGAAATCTCCACGTGCAACTTCCACAAAAAGAGTGTTTCAAATCTGCTCTCTCTAAAGGAAGGTTCATCTGTTGTCAGTTGAATACACACAACAGGAAGAAGTTACTGGGAAATCTTCTGTCTAGCATTATATGAAGAAACCCCATTCCCAATGAAGGCCTCAAAGAGTTCCCAATATCCACTTGCAGACTTTACAAACATAGCGTTTCCCAACTGCTCTATGAAAAGGAAGGTTAAACTCTGTTAGGTGAACGCACACATCAAAACGCAGTTTCTGGGAATGATTCTGTCTACTTTTTATTCGAAGATATTTCCTTTTCTACCGTTGGCCTCAAAGCGCTTGAAATCCCCACTTGCAAATTCCCCAAAAAGTGTCTTTCAAATCTGCTCTATCTAAAAGAAGGTTCAACTCTGTGAGCTGAATACACACAACACAAGGAAGTTACTGAGAATTCTTCTGTGTAGCCTTAAATGAAGAAATACCATTTCCAAAGAACGCCTCATGGCGGTCCAAATATCCACATGCAGACTTTTCAAACAGAGTGTTTCCCAACTGCTCTATGAAAAGAAAGGATAAACTCTGTGAGTTAAACATACACATCACTACACCGGTTCTGGGAATGAGTTTGTCTAGTTTTTATGTGAAGATTTTTCCTTTTCTACCACTGGCCCCGAAGCACTTGAAATCTCCAATTGGAAATTCCACAAAAAGTGTGTTTCAAATCTGCTCTATCTAAAAGAAGGTTCAACTCTGTGAGTTGAATACACACAATACAAAGAAGTTACGAAGAATTCCTCTGTCTAGCATTATATGAAGAAATCCCTTTTCCAAAGAAGGCCTCATAGAGGTCCGAATATCCACTTGCAGTCTTTACAAACAGAGTGTTTCCTAAGTGCTCTATGAAAAGAAAGGTAGAACTCTTTGAATTGAACGCATACATCACAAAGCAGTTTCTGAGAATCATTCTGTCAAGTTTTTATACGAAGAAATGTCCTTTTCTACCATTGACCTCAAAGCGTCTGAAATCTCCACTTGCAAATTCCACAAAAAGAGTGTCTCAAATCTGCTCTACCTAAAAGAAGGGTCAACTCTGTCAGTTGAATACACACAACAGAAAGAAGTTACTGAGAAATCTTCTGTCTAGCCTTACATGAATAAAACCCGTTTCCAACGAAGGCCTCAAAGATGTCCAAATATCCACGTGCAGACTTTACAAACAGAGTGTTTCCAAACTGCTGTATGAAAAGGTAGGTTAAACTCCGTGAGTCGAACGCACACATGATTAAGCAGTTTTTGAGAATGATTCTGACTTGTTTTTATACGAAGATATTTCCTCTTCTGCCTTTGGCCTCAAAGCGCTTGAAATTTCCTATTGCAAATTCCACAAAAAGAGTGTTTCAAGTCTGCTCTGTCTAAAGGAACGTTCAACTCTGTGATTTGAATACACACAACACAGAGAAGTTACTGAGAATTCCTCTGTCTAGCATTATATGAAGAAATCCCTTTTCCAACGAAGGCCTCAAAGAGATCGGAATATCCACTTTCAGACTGTTCAAACAGAGTGTTTCCTAACTGCTCTATGAAAAGAAAGGTAAAACTCTTTGAACTGAACACACACATCACGAAGCAGGTTCTGAGAATCATTCTGTCTAGTTTTTATACGAAGATATTTCCTTTTCTACCATTGACCTCAATGCGTCTGAAATCTCCACTTGCAAATTCCACAAAAAGAGTGGTTCAAATGTGCTCTGTCTAAAGGAAGGGTCAACTCTGTCAGTGGAATACACACAATATAAAGAAGTTACTGAGAATTCTTCTGTCTAGCCTTACATGAATAAAACCCGTTTCCAACGAAGACCTAAAAGAGGTCAAAATATCCACTTGCAGACATTACAAACAGAGTGTTTCCAAGCTGCTGTACGAAAAGATAAGTGAAACTCTGTGAGTTGAACGCACACATCACAAAGCAGTTTCTGAGAATGACTATCTAGTTTTTATACGAAGATATTTCCTTTTCTGCCTTTGGCCTCAAAGCGCTTGAAATCTCCACTTGCAAATTCCACAAAAAGAGTGTTTCAAATCTGCTCTGTCTAAAGGAAGGTTCAACTCTGTGAGTTGAACACACACAACACAAACAAGTTACTGAGAATTCTTCTGTCTAGCATTATAGGGAGAAACCCCGTTTCAAATTAAGGCGCCAAAGAGGTCCGAATATCCACTTGCAGACTTTACAAACACACTGTTTCCAAACTGCTCTATGAAAAGAAAGTTTAACCTCCGAGAGTTGAACGCACACATCAGAAAGTAGTTTCTGAGAATGATTCTGTGTACTTTTTATACGAAGATATTTCATTTTCTACCACTGGCCACAAAGCGCTTGAAATCTCCACGTGCAACTTCCACAAAAAGAGTGTTTCAAATCTGCTCTATCTAAAGGAACGTTCTATTTGAGTTGATTACACACAACACAAGGAAGTTACTGAGAATTCTTCTTTCTAGCATTATATGAAGAAATCCCGTTTCCAACGAAGGCCTCAAATAGGTCCGAATATCGACTTACAGATTTGACAAACTGTGTGTTTCCAAACGGCTCTAGGAAAACAAAGGTTAATCTCTGTGAGTTGAATGCACACATCACAAAGCAGTTTCTGAAAATGATTCTGTCTTGTTTTTATGCGAAGATATTTCCTTTTCTACCATTGACGTTAAAGCGGCTGAAATCTCCACTTGCAAATTCCACAAAAAGAGTGTTTCAAATCTGCTCTCTCTAAAGGAAGGTTCATCTGTTGTCAGTTGAATACACACAACAGGAAGAAGTTACTGGGAAATCTTCTGTCTAGCATTATATGAAGAAACCCCATTCCCAATGAAGGCCTCAAAGAGTTCCCAATATCCACTTGCAGACTTTACAAACATAGCGTTTCCCAACTGCTCTATGAAAAGGAAGGTTAAACTCTGTTAGGTGAACGCACACATCAAAACGCAGTTTCTGGGAATGATTCTGTCTACTTTTTATTCGAAGATATTTCCTTTTCTACCGTTGGCCTCAAAGCGCTTGAAATCCCCACTTGCAAATTCCCCAAAAAGTGTCTTTCAAATCTGCTCTATCTAAAAGAAGGTTCAACTCTGTG
Organism: Homo sapiens; assembly: GCF_000001405.40. Taxonomy (NCBI): domain Eukaryota; kingdom Metazoa; phylum Chordata; class Mammalia; order Primates; family Hominidae; genus Homo; species Homo sapiens. Next base: position 47,243,914 of record NC_000005.10, on the reverse strand, counting down.
AGCTGAATACACACAACACGAGGAAGTTACTGAGAATTCTTCTGTGTAGCCTTAAATGAAGAAACACCATTTCCAAAGAACGCCTCATGGCGGTCCAAATATCCACATGCAGACTTTTCAAACAGAGTGTTTCCCAACTGCTCTATGAAAAGAAAGGATAAACTCTGTGAGTTAAACATACACATCACTACACCGGTTCTGGGAATGAGTTTGTCTAGTTTTTATGTGAAGATTTTTCCTTTTCTACCATTGGCCCCGAAGCGCTTGAAATCTCCAATTGGAAATTCCACAAAAAGTGTGTTTCAAATCTGCTCTATCTAAAAGAAGGTTCAACTCTGTGAGTTGAATACACACAATACAAAGAAGTTACGAAGAATTCCTCTGTCTAGCATTATATGAAGAAATCCCTTTTCCAAAGAAGGCCTCATAGAGGTCCGAATATCCACTTGCAGTCTTAACAAACAGAGTGTTTCCTAAGTGCTCTATGAAAAGAAAGGTAGAACTCTTTGAATTGAACGCATACATCACAAAGCAGTTTCTGAGAATCATTCTGTCAAGTTTTTATACGAAGAAATGTCCTTTTCTACCATTGACCTCAAAGCGTCTGAAATCTCCACTTACAAATTCCACAAAAAGAGTGTCTCAAATCTGCTCTACCTAAAAGAAGGGTCAACTCTGTCAGTTGAATACACACAACACAAAGAAGTTACTGAGAAATCTTCTGTCTAGCCTTACATGAGTAAAACCCGTTTCCAACGAAGGCCTCAAAGATATCCAAATATCCACGTGCAGACTTTACAAACAGAGTGTTTCCAAACTGCTGTATGCAAAGGTAGGTTAAACTCCGTGAGTTGAACGCACACATGATAAAGCAGTTTCTGAGAATGATTCTGACTTTTTTTTATACGAAGATACTTCCTCTTCTGCCTTTGGCCTCAAAGCGCTTGAAATTTCCTATTGCAAATTCCACAAAAAGAGTGTTTCAAGTCTGCTCTGTCTAAAGGAACGTTCAACTCTGTGATTTGAATACAGACATCACAGAGAAGTTACTGAGAATTCCTCTGTCTAGCATTATATGAAGAAATCCCTTTTCCAACAAAGGCCTCAAAGAGATCGGAATATCCACTTTCAGACTGTTCAAACAGAGTGTTTCCTAACTGCTCTATGAAAAGAAAGGTAAAACTCTTTGAACTGAACACACACATCACGAAGCAGGTTCTGAGAATCATTCTGTACAGTCTTTATACGAAGATATTTCCTTTTCTACCATTGACCTCAATGCGTCTGAAATCTCCACTTGCAAATTCCACAAAAAGAGTGGTTCAAATGTGCTCTGTCTAAAGGAAGGGTCAACTCTGTCAGTGGAATACACACAATACAAAGAAGTTACTGAGAATTCTTCTGTCTAGCCTTACATGAATAAAACCCGTTTCCAACGAAGACCTCAAAGAGGTCAAAATATCCACTTGCAGACATTACAAACAGAGTGTTTCCAAACTACTGTACGAAAAGATAAGTGAAACTCTGTGAGTTGAACGCACACATCACAAAGCAGTTTCTGAGAATGATCTATCTAGTTTTTATACGAAGATATTTCCTTTTCTGCCTTTGGCCTCAAAGAGCTTGAAATCTCCACTTGCAAATTCCACAAAAAGAGTGTTTCAAATCTGCTCTCTCTAAAGGAAGGTTCAACTCTGTGAGTTGAACACACACAACACAAACAAGTTACTGAGAATTCTTCTGTCTAGCATTATATGGAGAAACCCCGTTTCAAAATAAGGCGCCAAAGAGGTCGAATATCCACTTGCAGACTTTACAAACACACTGTTTCCAAACTGCTCTATGAAAAGAAAGTTTAAACTCCGAGAGTTGAACGCACACATCAGAAAGTAGTTTCTGAGAATGATTCTGTGTACTTTTTATACGAAGATATTTCATTTTCTACCACTGGCCACAAAGCGCTTGAAATCTCCACGTGCAACTTCCACAAAAAGAGTGTTTCAAATCTGCTCTATCTAAAGGAACGTTCTATTCTGTGAGTTGATTACACACAACACTAGGAAGTTACTGAGAATTCTTCTTTCTAGCATTATATGAAGAAATCCCGTTTCCAACGAAGGCCTCAAATAGGTCCGAATATCGACTTATAGGTTAGACAAACTGTGTGTTTCCAAACGGCTCTATGAAAACAAAGGTTAAACTCTGTGAGTTGAATGCACACATCACAAAGCAGTTTCTGAAAATGATTCTGTCTTGTTTTTATGCGAAGATATTTCCTTTTCTACCATTGACGTTAAAGCGGCTGAAATCTCCACTTGCAAATTCCACAAAAAGAGTGTTTCAAATCTGCTCTCTCTAAAGGAAGGTTCATCTGTTGTCAGTTGAATACACACAACAGGAAGAAGTTACGGGCAAATCTTCTGTCTAGCATTATATGAAGAAACCCCATTCCCAATGAAGGCCTCAAAGAGTTCCCAATATCCACTTGCAGACTTTACAAACATAGCGTTTCCCAACTGCTCTATGAAAAGGAAGGTTAAACTCTGTTAGGTGAACGCACACATCAAAACGCAGTTTCTGGGAATGATTCTGTCTACTTTTTATTCGAAGATATTTCCTTTTCTACCGTTGGCCTCAAAGCGCTTGAAATCCCCACTTGCAAATTCCCCAAAAAGTGTCTTTCAAATCTGCTCTATCTAAAAGAAGGTTCAACTCTGTGAGCTGAATACACACAACACAAGGAAGTTACTGAGAATTCTTCTGTGTAGCCTTAAATGAAGAAATACCATTTCCAAAGAACGCCTCATGGCGGTCCAAATATCCACATGCAGACTTTTCAAACAGAGTGTTTCCCAACTGCTCTATGAAAAGAAAGGATAAACTCTGTGAGTTAAACATACACATCACTACACAGTTTCTGGGAATGATTTTGTCTAGTTTTTATGTGAAGATTTTTCCTTTTCTACCATTGGCCCTGAAGCGCTTGAAATCTCCAATTGGAAATTCCACAGAAAGTGTGTTTCAAATCTGCTCTATCTAAAAGAAGGTTCAACTCTGTGAGTTGAATACACACAATACAAAGAAGTTACGAAGAATTCCTCTGTCTAGCATTATATGAAGAAATCCCTTTTCCAAAGAAGGCCTCATAGAGGTCCGAATATCCACTTGCAGTCTTTACAAACAGAGTGTTTCCTAAGTGCTCTATGAAAAGAAAGGTAGAACTCTTTGAATTGAACGCATACATCACAAAGCAGTTTCTGAGAATCATTCTGTCAAGTTTTTATACGAAGAAATGTCCTTTTCTACCATTGACCTCAAAGCGTCTGAAATCTCCACTTGCAAATTCCACAAAAAGAGTGTGTCAAATCTGCTCTACCTAAAAGAAGGGTCAACTCTGTCAGTTGAATACACACAACACAAAGAAGTTACTGAGAAATCTTCTGTCTAGCCTTACATGAATAAAACCCGTTTCCAACGAAGGCCTCAAAGATGTCCAAATATCCACGTGCAGACTTTACAAACAGAGTGTTTCCAAACTGCTGTATGAAAAGGTAGGTTAAACTCCGTGAGTCGAACGCACACATGATTAAGCAGTTTCTGAGAATGATTCTGACTTGTTTTTATACGAAGATATTTCCTCTTCTGCCTTTGGCCTCAAAGCGCTTGAAATTTGCTATTGCAAATTCCACAAAAAGAGTGTTTCAAGTCTGCTCTGTCTAAAGGAACGTTCAAGTCTGTGATTTGAATACACACAACACAGAGAAGTTACTGAGAATTCCTCTGTCTAGCATTATATGAAGAAATCCCTTTTCCAACGAAGGCCTCAAAGAGAACGTAATATCCACTTTCAGACTGTTCAAACAGAGTGTTTCCTAACTGCTCTATGAAAAGAAAGGTAAAACTCTTTGAACTGAACACACACATCACGAAGCAGGTTCTGAGAATCATTCTGTCTAGTTTCTGTACGAAGATATTTCCTTTTCTACCATTGACCTCAAAGCGGCAGAAATCTCCACTTGCAAATTCCACAAAAAGAGTGTTTCAAGTCTGCTCAGTGTAAAGGATCGTTCAACTCTGTGAGTTGAATACACACAACACAAGGAAGTTACTGAGAATTCTTCTGTGTAGCCTTAAATGAAGAAATACCATTTCCAAAGAACGCCTCATGGCGGTCCAAATATCCACAGGCAGACTTTTCAAACAGAGCGTTTCCCAACTGCTCTATGAAAAGAAATGTTAAACTCTGTGAGTTAAACATACACATCACTACACAGTTTCTGGGAATGATTTTGTCTAGTTTTTATGTGAAGATTTTTCCTTTTCTACCATTGGCCCCGAAGCGCTTGAAATCTCCAATTGGAAATTCCACAGAAAGTGTGTTTCAAATCTGCTCTATCTAAAAGAAGGTTCAACTCTGTGAGTTGAATACACACAATACAAAGAAGTTACGAAGAATTCCTCTGTCTAGCATTATATGAAGAAATCCCTTTTCCAAAGAAGGCCTCATAGAGGTCCGAATATCCACTTGCAGTCTTTACAAACAGAGTGTTTCCTAAGTGCTCTATGAAAAGAAAGGTAGAACTCTTTGAATTGAACGCATACATCACAAAGCAGTTTCTGAGAATCATTCTGTCAAGTTTTTATACGAAGAAATTTCCTTTTCTACCATTGACCTCAAAGCGTCTGAAATCTCCACTTGCAAATTCCACAAAAAGAGTGTCTCAAATCTGCTCTACCTAAAAGAAGGGTCAACTCTGTCAGGTGAATACACACAACACAAACAAGTTACTGAGAAATCTTCGGTCTAGCCTTACATGAATAAAACCCGTTTCCAACGAAGGCCTCAAAGATGTCCAAATATCCACGTGCAGACTTTACAAACAGAGTGTTTCCAAACTGCTGTATGAAAAGGTAGGTTAAACTCCGTGAGTCGAACGCACACATGATTAAGCAGTTTCTGAGAATGATTCTGACTTGTTTTTCTACGAAGATATTTCCTCTTCTGCCTTTGGCCTCAAAGCGCTTGAAATTTCCTATTGCAAATTCCACAAAAAGAGTGTTTCAAGTCTGCTCTGTCTAAAGGAACGTTCAACTCTGTGATTTGAATACACACAACACAGAGAAGTTACTGAGAATTCCTCTGTCTAGCATTATATGAAGAAATCCCTTTTCCAACGAAGGCCTCAAAGAGATCGGAATATCCACTTTCAGACTGTTCAAACAGAGTGTTTCCTAACTGCTCTATGAAAAGAAAGGTAAAACTCTTTGAACTGAACACACACATCACGAAGCAGGTTCTGAGAATCATTCTGTCTAGTTTTTATACGAAGATATTTCCTTTTCTACCATTGACCTCAATGCGTCTGAAATCTCCACTTGCAAATTCCACAAAAAGAGTGGTTCAAATGTGCTCTGTCTAAAGGAAGGGTCAACTCTGTCAGTGGAATACACACAATACAAAGAAGTTACTGAGAATTCTTCTGTCTAGCCTTACATGAATAAAACCCATTTCCAACGAAGACCTCAAAGAGGTCAAAATATCCACTTGCAGACATTACAAACAGAGTGTTTCCAAACTGCTGTACGAAAAGATAAGTGAAACTCTGTGAGTTGAACGCACACATCACAAAGCAGTTTCTGAGAATGACTATCTAGTTTCTATACGAAGATATTTCCTTTTCTGCCTTTGGCCTCAAAGCGCTTGAAATCTCCACTTGCAAATTCCACAAAAAGAGTGTTTCAAATCTGCTCTGTCTAAAGGAAGGTTCAACTCAGTGAGTTGAACACACACAACACAAACAAGTTACTGACAATTCTTCTGTCTAGCATTATATGGAGAAACCCCGTTTCAAAATAACGCGCCAAAGAGGTCCGAATATCCCCTTGCAGACTTTACAAACACACTGTTTCCAAACTGCTCTATGAAAAGAAAGTTTAAACTCCGAGAGTTGAACGCACACATCAGAAAGTAGTTTCTGAGAATGATTCTGTGTACTTTTTATACGAAGATATTTCATTTTCTACCACTGGCCACAAAGCGCTTGAAATCTCCACGTGCAACTTCCACAAAAAGAGTGTTTCAAATCTGCTCTATCTAAAGGAACGTTCTATTCTGTGAGTTGATTACACACAACACAAGGAAGTTACTGAGAATTCTTCTTTCTAGCATTATATGAAGAAATCCCGTTTCCAACGAAGGCCTCAAATAGGTCCGAATATCGACTTACAGATTTGACAAACTGTGTGTTTCCAAACGGCTCTATGAAAACAAAGGTTAAACTCTGTGAGTTGAATGCACACATCACAAAGCAGTTTCTGAAAATGATTCTGTCTTGTTTTTATGCGAAGATATTTCCTTTTCCACCATTGACGTTAAAGCGGCTGAAATCTCCACTTGCAAATTCCACAAAAAGAGTGTTTCAAATCTGCTCTCTCTAAAGGAAGGTTCATCTGTTGTCAGTTGAATACACACAACAGGAAGAAGTTACTGGGACATCTTCTGTCTAGCATTATATGAAGAAACCCCATTCCCAATGAAGGCCTCAAAGAGTTCCCAATATCCACTTGCAGACTTTACAAACATAGCGTTTCCCAACTGCTCTATGAAAAGGAAGGTTAAACTCTGTTAGGTGAACGCACACATCAAAACGCAGTTTCTGGGAATGATTCTGTCTACTTTTTATTCGAAGATATTTCCTTTTCTACCGTTGGCCTCAAAGCGCTTGAAATCCCCACTTGCAAATTCCCCAAAAAGTGTCTTTCAAATCTGCTCTATCTAAAAGAAGGTTCAACTCTGTGAGCTGAATACACACAACACGAGGAAGTTACTGAGAATTCTTCTGTGTAGCCTTAAATGAAGAAATACCATTTCCAAAGAACGCCTCATGGCGGTCCAAATATCCACATGCAGACTTTTCAAACAGAGTGTTTCCCAACTGCTCTATGAAAAGAAAGGATAAACTCTGTGAGTTAAACATACACATCACTACACAGTTTCTGGGAATGATTTTGTCTAGTTTTTATGTGAAGATTTTTCCTTTTCTACCATTGGCCCCGAAGCGCTTGAAATCTCCAATTGGAAATTCCACAGAAAGTGTGTTTCAAATCTGCTCTATCTAAAAGAAGGTTCAACTCTGTGAGTTGAATACACACAATACAAAGAAGTTACGAAGAATTCCTCTGTCTAGCATTATATGAAGAAATCCCTTTTCCAAAGAAGGCCTCATAGAGGTCCGAATATCCACTTGCAGTCTTTACAAACAGAGTGTTTCCTAAGTGCTCTATGAAAAGAAAGGTAGAACTCTTTGAATTGAACGCATACATCACAAAGCAGTTTCTGAGAATCATTCTGTCAAGTTTTTATACGAAGAAATGTCCTTTTCTACCATTGACCTCAAAGCGTCTGAAATCTCCACTTGCAAATTCCACAAAAAGAGTGTCTCAAATCTGCTCTACCTAAAAGAAGGGTCAACTCTGTCAGTTGAATACACACAACAGAAAGAAGTTACTGAGAAATCTTCTGTCTAGCCTTACATGAATAAAACCCGTTTCCAACGAAGGCCTCAAAGATGTCCAAATATCCACGTGCAGACTTTACAAACAGAGTGTTTCCAAACTGCTGTATGAAAAGGTAGGTTAAACTCCGTGAGTCGAACGCACACATGATTAAGCAGTTTTTGAGAATGATTCTGACTTGCTTTTATACGAAGATATTTCCTCTTCTGCCTTTGGCCTCAAAGTGCTTGAAATTTCCTATTGCAAATTCCACAAAAAGAGTGTTTCAAGTCTGCTCTGTCTAAAGGAACGTTCAACTCTGTGATTTGAATACACACAACACAGAGAAGTTACTGAGAATTCCTCTGTCTAGCATTATATGAAGAAATCCCTTTTCCAACAAAGGCCTCAAAGAGATCGGAATATCCACTTTCAGACTTTTCAAACAGAGTGTTTCCTAACTGCTCTATGAAAAGAAAGGTAAAACTCTTTGAACTGAACACACACATGACGAAGCAGGTTCTGAGAATCATTCTGTCTAGTTTTTATACGAAGATATTTCCTTTTCTACCATTGACCTCAATGCGTCTGAAATCTCCACTTGCAAATTCCACAAAAAGAGTGGTTCAAATGTGCTCTGTCTAAAGGAAGGGTCAACTCTGTCAGTGGAATACACACAATACAAAGAAGTTACTGAGAATTCTTCTGTCTAGCCTTACATGAATAAAACCCGTTTCCAAAGAAGACCTCAAAGAGGTCAAAATATCCACATGCAGACATTACAAACAGAGTGTTTCCAAACTGCTGTACGAAAAGATAAGTGAAACTCTGTGAGTTGAACGCACACATCACAAAGCAGTTTCTGAGAATGACTATCTAGTTTTTATACGAAGATATTTCCTTTTCTGCCTTTGGCCTCAAAGCGCTTGAAATCTCCACTTGCAAATTCCACAAAAAGAGTGTTTCAAATCTGCTCTGTCTAAAGGAAGGTTCAACTCTGTGAGTTGAACACACACAACACAAACAAGTTACTGAGAAGTCTTCTGTCTAGCATTATATGGAGAAACCCCGTTTCAAAATAAGGCGCCAAAGAGGTCCGAATATCCACTTGCAGACTTTACAAACACACTGTTTCCAAACTGCTCTATGAAAAGAAAGTTTAAACTCCGAGAGTTGAACGCACACATCAGAAAGTAGTTTCTGAGAATGATTCTGTGTACTTTTTATACGAAGATATTTCATTTTCTACCACTGGTCACAAAGCGCTTGAAATCTCCACGTGCAACTTCCACAAAAAGAGTGTTTCAAATCTGCTCTATCTAAAGGAACGTTCTATTCTGTGTGTTGATTACACACAACACAAGGAAGTTACTGAGAATTCTTCTTTCTAGCATTATATGAAGAAATCCCGTTTCCAACGAAGGCCTCAAATAGGTCCGAATATCGACTTACAGATTTGACAAACTGTGTGTTTCCAAACGGCTCTATGAAAACAAAGGTTAAACTCTGTGAGTTGAATGCACACATCACAAAGCAGTTTCTGAAAATGATTCTGTCTTGTTTTTATGCGAAGATATTTCCTTTTCTACCATTGACGTTAAAGCGGCTGAAATCTCCACTTGCAACTTCCACAAAAAGAGTGTTTCAAATATGCTCTCTCTAAAGGAAGGTTCATCTGTTGTCAGTTGAATACACACAACAGGAAGAAGTTACTGGGAAATCTTCTGTCTAGCATTATATGAAGAAACCCCATTCCCAATGAAGGCCTCAAAGAGTTCCCAATATCCACTTGCAGACTTTACAAACATAGCGTTTCCCAACTGCTCTATGAAAAGGAAGGTTAAACTCTGTTAGGTGAACGCACACATCAAAACGCAGTTTCTGGGAATGATTCTGTCTACTTTTTATTCGAAGATATTTCCTTTTCTACCGTTGGCCTCAAAGCGCTTGAAATCCCCACTTGCAAATTCCCCAAAAAGTGTCTTTCAAATCTGCTCTATCTAAAAGAAGGTTCAACTCTGTGAGCTGAATACACACAACACAAGGAAGTTACTGAGAATTCTTCTGTGTAGCCTTAAATGAAGAAATACCATTTCCAAAGAACGCCTCATGGCGGTCCAAATATCCACATGCAGACTTTTCAAACAGAGTGTTTCCCAACTGCTCTATGAAAAGAAAGGATAAACTCTGTGAGTTAAACATACACATCACTACACAGTTTCTGGGAATGAGTTTGTCTAGTTTTTATGTGAAGATTTTTCCTTTTCTACCATTGGCCCCGAAGCGCTTGAAATCTCCAATTGGAAATTCCACAAAAAGTGTGTTTCAAATCTGCTCTATCTAAAAGAAGGTTCAACTCTGTGAGTTGAATACACACAATACAAAGAAGTTACGAAGAATTCCTCTGTCTAGCATTATATGAAGAAATCCCTTTTCCAAAGAAGGCCTCATAGAGGTCCGAATATCCACTTGCAGTCTTTACAAACAGAGTGTTTCCTAAGTGCTCTATGAAAAGAAAGGTAGAACTCTTTGAATTGAACGCATACATCACAAAGCAGTTTCTGAGAATCATTCTGTCAAGTTTTTATACGAAGAAATTTCCTTTTCTACCATTGACCTCAAAGCGTCTGAAATCTCCACTTGCAAATTCCACAAAAAGAGTGTTTCAAATCTGCTCTGTCTAAAAGAAGGGTCAACTCTGTCAGTTGAATACGCACAACACAAAGAAGTTACTGAGAAATCTTCTGTCTAGCCTTACATGAATAAAACCCGTTTCCAACGATGGTCTCAAAGAAGTCCAAATATCCACTTGCAGACTTTACAAACAGAGTGTTTCCAAACTGCTGTATGAAAAGGTAGGTTAAACTCCGTGAGTTGAACGCACACATGATAAATCAGTTTCTGAGAATGATTCTGACTTGTTTTTATACGAAGATATTTCCTCTTCTGCCTTTGGCCTCAAAGCGCTTGAAATTTGCTATTGCAAATTCCACAAAAAGAGTGTTTCAAGTCTGCTCTGTCTAAAGGAACGTTCAACTCTGTGATTTGAATACACACAACACAGAGAAGTTACTGAGAATTCCTCTGTCTAGCATTATATGAAGAAATCCCTTTTCCAACGAAGGCCTCAAAGAGATCGGAATATCCACTTTCAGACTGTTCAAACAGAGTGTTTCCTAACTGCTCTATGAAAAGAAAGGTAAAACTCTTTGAACTGAACACACACATCACGAAGCAGGTTCTGAGAATCATTCTGTCTAGTTTTTATACGAAGATATTTCCTTTTGTACCATTGACCTCAATGCGTCTGAAATCTCCACTTGCAAATTCCACAAAAAGAGTGGTTCAAATGTGCTCTGTCTAAAGGAAGGGTCAACTCTGTCAGTGGAATACACACAATACAAAGAAGTTACTGAGAATTCTTCTGTCTAGCCTTACATGAATAAAACCCGTTTCCAACGAAGACCTCAAAGAGGTCCAAATATCCACTTGCAGACATTACAAACAGAGTGTTTGCAAACTGCTGTACGAAAAGATAAGTGAAACTCTGTGAGTTGAACGCACACATCACAAAGCAGTTTCTGAGAATGATCTATCTAGTTTTTATACGAAGATATTTCCTTTTCTGCCTTTGGCCTCAAAGCGCTTGAAATCTCCACTTGCAAATTCCACAAAAAGAGCGTTTCAATTCTGCTCTGTCTAAAGGAAGGTTCAACTCTGTAAGTTGAACACACACAACACAAACAAGTTACTGAGAATTCTTCTGTCTAGCATTATAGGGAGAAACCCCGTTTCAAATTAAGGCGCCAAAGAGGTCCGAATATCCACTTGCAGACTTTACAAACACACTGTTTACAAACTGCTCTATGAAAAGAAAGTTTAAACTCCGAGAGTTGAACGCACACATCAGAAAGTAGTTTGCTGAGAATGATTCTGTGTACTTTTTATACGAAGATATTTCATTTTCTACCACTGGCCACAAAGCACTTGAAATCTCCACGTGCAACTTCCACAAAAAGAGTGTTTCAAATCTGCTCTATCTAAAGGAACGTTCTGTTCTGTGAGTTGATTACACACAACACAAGGAAGTTACTGAGAATTCTTCTTTCTAGCATTATATGAAGAAATCCCGTTTCCAACGAAGGCCTCAAATAGGTCCGAATATCGACTTACAGATTTGACAAACTGTGTGTTTCCAAACGGCTCTAGGAAAACAAAGGTTAAACTCTGTGAGTTGAATGCACACATCACAAAGCAGTTTCTGAAAATGATTCTGTCTTGTTTTTATGCGAAGATATTTCCTTTTCTACCATTGACGTTAAAGCGGCTGAAATCTCCACTTGCAACTTCCACAAAAAGAGTGTTTCAAATCTGCTCTCTCTAAAGGAAGGTTCATCTGTTGTCAGTTGAATACACACAACAGGAAGAAGTTACTGGGAAATCTTCTGTCTAGCATTATATGAAGAAACCCCATTCCCAATGAAGGCCTCAAAGAGTTCCCAATATCCACTTGCAGACTTTACAAACATAGCGTTTCCCAACTGCTCTATGAAAAGGAAGGTTAAACTCTGTTACGTGAACGCACACATCAAAACGCAGTTTCTGGGAATGATTCTGTCTACTTTTTATTCGAAGATATTTCCTTTTCTACCGTTGGCCTCAAAGCGCTTGAAATCCCCACTTGCAAATTCCCCAAAAAGTGTCTTTCAAATCTGCTCTATCTAAAAGAAGGTTCAACTCTGTGAGCGGAATACACACAACACAAAGAAGTTACTGAGACTTCTTCTGTGTAGCCTTAAATGAAGAAATACCATTTCCAAAGAACGCCTCATGGCGGTCCAAATATCCACATGCAGACTTTTCAAACAGAGTGTTTCCCAACTGCTCTATGAAAAGAAAGGATAAACTCTGTGAGTTAAACATACACATCACTACACAGTTTCTGGGAATGATTTTGTCTAGTTTTTATGTGAAGATTTTTCCTTTTCTACCATTGGCCCTGAAGCGCTTGAAATCTCCAATTGGAAATTCCACAGAAAGTGTGTTTCAAATCTGCTCTATCTAAAAGAAGGTTCAACTCTGTGAGTTGAATACACACAATACAAAGAAGTTACGAAGAATTCCTCTGTCTAGCATTATATGAAGAAATCCCTTTTCCAAAGAAGGCCTCATAGAGGTCCGAATATCCACTTGCAGTCTTTACAAACAGAGTGTTTCCTAAGTGCTCTATGAAAAGAAAGGTAGAACTCTTTGAATTGAACGCATACATCACAAAGCAGTTTCTGAGAATCATTCTGTCAAGTTTTTATACGAAGAAATGTCCTTTTCTACCATTGACCTCAAAGCGTCTGAAATCTCCACTTGCAAATTCCACAAAAAGAGTGTCTCAAATCTGCTCTACCTAAAAGAAGGGTCAACTCTGTCAGTTGAATACACACAACAGAAAGAAGTTACTGAGAAATCTTCTGTCTAGCCTTACATGAATAAAACCCGTTTCCAACGAAGGCCTCAAAGATGTCCAAATATCCACGTGCAGACTTTACAAACAGAGTGTTTCCAAACTGCTGTATGAAAAGGTAGGTTAAACTCCGTGAGTCGAACGCACACATGATTAAGCAGTTTCTGAGAATGATTCTGACTTGCTTTTATACGAAGATATTTCCTCTTCTGCCTTTGGCCTCAAAGTGCTTGAAATTTCCTATTGCAAATTCCACAAAAAGAGTGTTTCAAGTCTGCTCTGTCTAAAGGAACGTTCAACTCTGTGATTTGAATACACACAACACAGAGAAGTTACTGAGAATTCCTCTGTCTAGCATTATATGAAGAAATCCCTTTTCCAACGAAGGCCTCAAAGATATCGGAATATCCACTTTCAGACTGTTCAAACAGAGTGTTCCCTAACTGCTCTATGAAAAGAAAGGTAAAACTCTTTGAACTGAACACACGCATCACGAAGCAGGTTCTGAGAATCATTCTGTACAGTTTTTATACGAAGATATTTCCTTTTCTACCGTTGACCTCAATGCGTCTGAAATCTCCACTTGCAAATTCCACAAAAAGAGTGGTTCAAATGTGCTCTGTCTAAAGGAAGGGTCAACTCTGTCAGTGGAATACACACAATACAAAGAAGTTACTGAGAATTCTTCTGTCTAGCCTTACATGAATAAAACCCGTTTCCAACGAAGACCTCAAAGAGGTCAAAATATCCACTTGCAGACATTACAAACAGAGTGTTTCCAAACTGCTGTACGAAAAGATAAGTGAAACTCTGTGAGTTGAACGCACACATCACAAAGCAGTTTCTGAGAATGATCTATCTAGTTTTTATACGAAGATATTTCCTTTTCTGCCTTTGGCCTCAAAGCGCTTGAAATCTCCACTTGCAAATTCCACAAAAAGAGTGTTTCAAATCTGCTCTGTCTAAAGGAAGGTTCAACTCTGTGAGTTGAACACACACAACACAAACAAGTTATTGAGAATTCTTCTGTCTAGCATTATATGGAGAAACCCCGTTTCAAAATAAGGCGCCAAAGAGGTCCGAATATCCACTTGCAGACTTTACAAACACACTGTTTCCACACTGCTCTATGAAAAGAAAGTTTAACCTCCGAGAGTTGAACGCACACATCAGAAAGTAGTTTCTGAGAATGATTCTGTGTAATTTTTATACGAAGATATTTCATTTTCTTCCACTGGCCACAAAGCGCTTGAAATCTCCACGTGCAACTTCCACAAAAAGAGTGTTTCAAATCTGCTCTATCTAAAGGAACGTTCTATTCTGTGAGTTGATTACACACAACACAAGGAAGTTACTGAGAATTCTTCTTTCTAGCATTATATGAAGAAATCCCGTTTCCAACGAAGGCCTCAAATAGGTCCGAATATCGACTTACAGATTTGACAAACTGTGTGTTTCCAAACGGCTCTATGAAAACAAAGGTTAAACTCTGTGAGTTGAATGCACACATCACAAAGCAGTTTCTGAAAATGATTCTGTCTTGTTTTTATGCGAAGATATTTCCTTTTCTACCATTGACGTTAAAGCGGCTGAAATCTCCACTTGCAAATTCCACAAAAAGAGTGTTTCAAATCTGCTCTCTGTAAAGGAAGGTTCATCTGTTGTCAGTTGAATACACACAACAGGAAGAAGTTACTGGGAAATCTTCTGTCTAGCATTATATGAAGAAACCCCATTCCCAATGAAGGCCTCAAAGAGTTCCCAATATCCACTTGCAGACTTTACAAACATAGCGTTTCCCAACTGCTGTATGAAAAGGAAGGTTAAACTCTTTTAGGTGAACGCACACATCAAAACGCAGTTTCTGGGAATGATTCTGTCTACTTTTTATTCGAAGATATTTCCTTTTCTACCGTTGGCCTCAAAGCGCTTGAAATCTCCACTTGCAAATTCCCCAAAAAGTGTCTTTCAAATCTGCTCTATCTAAAAGAAGGTTCAACTCTGTGAGCTGAATACACACAACACAAGGAAGTTACTGAGAATTCTTCTGTGTAGCCTTAAATGAAGGAATACCATTTCCAAAGAACGCCTCATGGCGGTCCAAATATCCACATGCAGACTTTTCAAACAGAGTGTTTCCCAACTGCTCTATGAAAAGAAAGGTTAAACTCTGTGAGTTAAACATACACATCACTACACAGTTTCTGGGAATGATTTTGTCTAGTTTTTATGTGAAGATTTTTCCTTTTCTACCATTGGCCCCGAAGCGCTTGAAATCTCCAATTGGAAATTCCACAGAAAGTGTGTTTCAAATCTGCTCTATCTAAAAGAAGGTTCAACTCTGTGAGTTGAATACACACAATACAAAGAAGTTACGAAGAATTCCTCTGTCTAGCATTATATGAAGAAATCCCTTTTCCAAAGAAGGCCTCATAGAGGTCCGAATATCCACTTGCAGTCTTTACAAACAGAGTGTTTCCTAAGTGCTCTATGAAAAGAAAGGTAGAACTCTTTGAATTGAACGCATACATCACAAAGCAGTTTCTGAGAATCATTCTGTCAAGATTTTATACGAAGAAATTTCCTTTTCTACCATTGACCTCAAAGCGTCTGAAATCTCCACTTGCAAATTCCACAAAAAGAGTGTCTCAAATCTGCTCTACCTAAAAGAAGGGTCAACTCTGTCAGTTGAATACACACAACACAAAGAAGTTACTGAGAAATCTTCTGTCTAGCCTTACATGAATAAAACCCGTTTCCAACAAAGGCCTCAAAGATGTCCAAATATCCACGTGCAGACTTTACAAACAGAGTGTTTCCAAACTGCTGTATGAAAAGGTAGGTTAAACTCCGTGAGTCGAACGCACACATGATTAAGCAGTTTCTGAGAATGATTCTGACTTGCTTTTATACGAAGATATTTCCTCTTCTGCCTTTGGCCTCAAAGTGCTTGAAATTTCCTATTGCAAATTCCACAAAAAGAGTGTTTCAAGTCTGCTCTGTCTAAAGGAACGTTCAACTCTGTGATTTGAATACACACAACACAGAGAAGTTACTGAGAATTCCTCTGTCTAGCATTATATGAAGAAATCCCTTTTCCAACGAAGGCCTCAAAGAGATCGGAATATCAACTTTCAGACTGTTCAAACAGAGTGTTTCCTAACTGCTCTATGAAAAGAAAGGTAAAACTCTTTGAACTGAACACACACATCACGAAACAGGTTCTGAGAATCATTCTGTCTAGTTTTTATACGAAGATATTTCCTTTTCTACCATTGACCTCAATGCGTCTGAAATCTCCACTTGCAAATTCCACAAAAAGAGTGGTTCAAATGTGCTCTGTCTAAAGGAAGGGTCAACTCTGTCAGTGGAATACACACAATACAAAGAAGTTACTGAGAATTCTTCTGTCTAGCCTTACATGAATAAAACCCGTTTCCAACGAAGACCTAAAAGAGGTCAAAATATCCACTTGCAGACATTACAAACAGAGTGTTTCCAAGTTGCTGTACGAAAAGATAAGTGAAACTCTGTGAGTTGAACGCACACATCACAAAGCAGTTTCTGAGAATGATCTAATTTTTATACGTAGATATTTCCTTTTCTACCATTGGCCTCAAAGCGCTTGAAATCTCCACTTGCAAATTCCACAAAAAGAGTCTTTCAAATCTGCTCTGTCTAAAGGAAGGTTCAACACTGTGAGTTGAATACACACAACACAAAGAAGTTGCTGAGAATTCTTCTGTCTAATTTTTATACGAAGATATTTCCTTTTCTACCATTGGCCTCAAAGCGCTTGAAATCTCCAGTTGCAAATTCCACAAAAAGAGTGTTTCAAATCTGCTCTGTCTAAAGGAAGGTTCTACTCTGTGAGTTGAATACACACAACACAAAGAATTTCCTGAGAATTCTTCTGTCTAGCATTATAGGGAGAAACCCCGTTTCAAATTAAGGCGCCAAAGAGGTCCGAATATCCACTTGCAGACTTTACAAACACACTGTTTCCAAACTGCTCTATGAAAAGAAAGTTTAACCTCCGAGAGTTGAACGCACACATCAGAAAGTAGTTTCTGAGAATGATTCTGTGTACTTTTTATACGAAGATATTTCATTTTCTACCACTGGCCACAAAGCGCTTGAAATCTCCACGTGCAACTTCCACAAAAAGAGTGTTTCAAATCTGCTCTATCTAAAGGAACGTTCTATTCTGTGAGTTGATTACACACAACACAAGGAAGTTACTGAGAATTCTTCTTTCTAGCATTATATGAAGAAATCCCGTTTCCAACGAAGGCCTCAAATAGGTCCGAATATCGACTTACAGATTTGACAAACTGTGTGTTTCCAAACGGCTCTAGGAAAACAAAGGTTAAACTCTGTGAGTTGAATGCACACATCACAAAGCAGTTTCTGAAAATGATTCTGTCTTGTTTTTATGCGAAGATATTTCCTTTTCTACCATTGACGTTAAAGCGGCTGAAATCTCCACTTGCAAATTCCACAAAAAGAGTGTTACAAATCTGCTCTCTCTAAAGGAAGGTTCATCTGTTGTCAGTTGAATACACACAACAGGAAGAAGTTACTGGGAAATCTTCTGTCTAGCATTATATGAAGAAACCCCATTCCCAATGAAGGCCTCAAAGAGTTCCCAATATCCACTTGCAGACTTTACAAACATAGCGTTTCCCAACTGCTCTATGAAAAGGAAGGTTAAACTCTGTTAGGTGAACGCACACATCAAAACGCAGTTTCTGGGAATGATTCTGTCTACTTTTTATTCGAAGATATTTCCTTTTCTACCGTTGGCCTCAAAGCGCTTGAAATCCCCACTTGCAAATTCCCCAAAAAGTGTCTTTCAAATCTGCTCTATCTAAAAGAAGGTTCAACTCTGTGAGCTGAATACACACAACACAAGGAAGTTACTGAGAATTCTTCTGTGTAGCCTTAAATGAAGAAATACCATTTCCAAAGAACGCCTCATGGCGGTCCAAATATCCACATGCAGACTTTTCAAACAGAGTGTTTCCCAACTGCTCTATGAAAAGAAAGGATAAACTCTGGGAGTTAAACATACACATCACTACACAGTTTCTGGGAATGATTTTGTCTAGTTTTTATGTGAAGATTTTTCCTTTTCTACCATTGGCCCCGAAGCGCTTGAAATCTCCAATTGGAAATTCCACAGAAAGTGTGTTTCAAATCTGCTCTATCTAAAAGAAGGTTCAACTCTGTGAGTTGAATACACACAATACAAAGAAGTTACGAAGAATTCCTCTGTCTAGCATTATATGAAGAAATCCCTTTTCCAAAGAAGGCCTCATAGAGGTCCGAATATCCACTTGCAGTCTTTACAAACAGAGTGTTTCCTAAGTGCTCTATGAAAAGAAAGGTAGAACTCTTTGAATTGAACGCATACATCACAAAGCAGTTTCTGAGAATCATTCTGTCAAGTTTTTATACGAAGAAATGTCCTTTTCTACCATTGACCTCAAAGCGTCTGAAATCTCCACTTGCAAATTCCACAAAAAGAGTGTCTCAAATCTGCTCTACCTAAAAGAAGGGTCAACTCTGTCAGTTGAATACACACAACACAAAGAAGTTACTGAGAAATCTTCTGTCTAGCCTTACATGAATAAAACCCGTTTCCAACGAAGGCCTCAAAGATGTCCAAATATCCACGTGCAGACTTTACAAACAGAGTGTTTCCAAACTGCTGTATGAAAAGGTAGGTTAAACTCCGTGAGTCGAACGCACACATGATTAAGCAGTTTCTGAGAATGATTCTGACTTGTTTTTATACGAAGATATTTCCTCTTCTGCCTTTGGCCTCAAAGCGCTTGAAATTTCCTATTGCAAATTCCACAAAAAGAGTGTTTCAAGTCTGCTCTGTCTAAAGGAACGTTCAACTCTGTGATTTGAATACACACAACACAGAGAAGTTACTGAGAATTCCTCTGTCTAGCATTATATGAAGAAATCCCTTTTCCAACGAAGGCCTCAAAGAGATCGGAATATCCACTTTCAGACTGTTCAAACAGAGTGTTCCCTAACAGCTCTATGAAAAGTAAGGTAAAACTCTTTGAACTGAACACACACATCACGAAGCAGGTTCTGAGAATCATTCTGTCTAGTTTTTATACGAAGATATTTCCTTTTCTACCATTGTCCTCAATGCGTCTGAAATCTCCACTTGCAAATTCCACAAAAAGAGTGGTTCAAATGTGCTCTGTCTAAAGGAAGGGTCAACTCTGTCAGTGGAATACACACAATACAAAGAAGTTACTGAGAATTCTTCTGTCTAGCCTTACATGAATAAAACCCGTTTCCAACGAAGACCTCAAAGAGGTCAAAATATCCACTTGCAGACATTACAAACAGAGTGTTTCCAAACTGCTGTACGAAAAGATAAGTGAAACTCTGTGAGTTGAACGCACACATCACAAAGCAGTTTCTGAGAATGATCTATCTAGTTTTTATACGAAGATATTTCCTTTTCTGCCTTTGGCCTCAAAGCGCTTGAAATCTCCACTTGCAAATTCCACAAAAAGAGTGTTTCAAATCTGCTCTGTCTAAAGGAAGGTTCAACTCTGTGAGTTGAACACACACAACACAAACAAGTTACTGAGAAGTCTTCTGTCTAGCATTATATGGAGAAACCCCGTTTCAAAATAAGGCGCCAAAGAGGTCCGAATATCCACTTGCAGACTTTACAAACACACTGTTTCCAAACTGCTCTATGAAAAGAAAGTTTAAACTCCGAGAGTTGAACGCACACATCAGAAAGTAGTTTCTGAGAATGATTCTGTGTACTTTTTATACGAAGATATTTCATTTTCTACCACTGGCCACAAAGCGCTTGAAATCTCCACGTGCAACTTCCACAAAAAGAGTGTTTCAAATCTGCTCTATCTAAAGGAACGTTCTATTCTGTGAGTTGATTACACACAACACAAGGAAGTTACTGAGAATTCTTCTTTCTAGCATTATATGAAGAAATCCCGTTTCCAACGAAGGCCTCAAATAGGTCCGAATATCGACTTACAGATTTGACAAACTGTGTGTTTCCAAACGGCTCTAGGAAAACAAAGGTTAAACTCTGTGAGTTGAATGCACACATCACAAAGCAGTTTCTGAAAATGATTCTGTCTTGTTTTTATGCGAAGATATTTCCTTTTCTACCATTGACGTTAAAGCGGCTGAAATCTCCACTTGCAACTTCCACAAAAAGAGTGTTTCAAATATGCTCTCTCTAAAGGAAGGTTCATCTGTTGTCAGTTGAATACACACAACAGGAAGAAGTTACTGGGAAATCTTCTGTCTAGCATTATATGAAGAAACCCCATTCCCAATGAAGGCCTCAAAGAGTTCCCAATATCCACTTGCAGACTTTACAAACATAGCGTTTCCCAACTGCTCTATGAAAAGGAAGGTTAAACTCTGTTAGGTGAACGCACACATCAAAACGCAGTTTCTGGGAATGATTCTGTCTACTTTTTATTCGAAGATATTTCCTTTTCTACCGTTGGCCTCAAAGCGCTTGAAATCCCCACTTGCAAATTCCCCAAAAAGTGTCTTTCAAATCTGCTCTATCTAAAAGAAGGTTCAACTCTGTGAGCTGAATACACACAACACAAGGAAGTTACTGAGAATTCTTCTGTGTAGCCTTAAATGAAGAAATACCATTTCCAAAGAACGCCTCATGGCGGTCCAAATATCCACATGCAGACTTTTCAAACAGAGTGTTTCCCAACTGCTCTATGAAAAGAAAGGATAAACTCTGTGAGTTAAACATACACATCACTACACAGTTTTCTGGGAATGATTTTGTCTAGTTTTTATGTGAAGATTTTTCCTTTTCTACCATTGGCCCCGAAGCGCTTGAAATCTCCAATTGGAAATTCCACAGAAAGTGTGTTTCAAATCTGCTCTATCTAAAAGAAGGTTCAACTCTGTGAGTTGAATACACACAATACAAAGAAGTTACGAAGAATTCCTCTGTCTAGCATTATATGAAGAAATCCCTTTTCCAAAGAAGGCCTCATAGAGGTCCGAATATCCACTTGCAGTCTTTACAAACAGAGTGTTTCCTAAGTGCTCTATGAAAAGAAAGGTAGAACTCTTTGACTTGAACGCATACATCACAAAGCAGTTTCTGAGAATCATTCTGTCAAGTTTTTATACGAAGAAATGTCCTTTTCTACCATTGACCTCAAAGCGTCTGAAATCTCCACTTGCAAATTCCACAAAAAGAGTGTCTCAAATCTGCTCTACCTAAAAGAAGGGTCAACTCTGTCAGTTGAATACACACAACACAAAGAAGTTACTGAGAAATCTTCTGTCTAGCCTTACATGAATAAAACCCGTTTCCAACGAAGGCCTCAAAGATGTCCAAATATCCACGTGCAGACTTTACAAACAGAGTGTTTCCAAACTGCTGTATGAAAAGGTAGGTTAAACTCCGTGAGTCGAACGCACACATGATTAAGCAGTTTCTGAGAATGATTCTGACTTGTTTTTATACGAAGATATTTCCTCTTCTGCCTTTGGCCTCAAAGCGCTTGAAATTTCCTATTGCAAATTCCACAAAAAGAGTGTTTCAAGTCTGCTCTGTCTAAAGGAACGTTCAACTCTGTGATTTGAATACACACAACACAGAGAAGTTACTGAGAATTCCTCTGTCTAGCATTATATGAAGAAATCCCTTTTCCAACAAAGGCCTCAAAGAGATCGGAATATCCACTTTCAGACTGTTCAAACAGAGTGTTTCCTAACTGCTCTATGAAAAGAAAGGTAAAACTCTTTGAACTGAACACACACATCACGAAGCAGGTTCTGAGAATCATTCTGTCTAGTTTTTATACGAAGATATTTCCTTTTCTACCATTGACCTCAATGCGTCTGAAATCTCCACTTGCAAATTCCACAAAAAGAGTGGTTCAAATGTGCTCTGTCTAAAGGAAGGGTCAACTCTGTCAGTGGAATACACACAATACAAAGAAGTTACTGAGAATTCTTCTGTCTAGCCTTACATGAATAAAACCCGTTTCCAACGAAGACCTCAAAGAGGTCAAAATATCCACTTGCAGACATTACAAACAGAGTGTCTCCAAACTGCTGTACGAAAAGATAAGTGAAACTCTGTGAGTTGAACGCACACATCACAAAGCAGTTTCTGAGAATGACTATCTAGTTTTTATACGAAGATATTTCCTTTTCTGCCTTTGGCCTCAAAGCGCTTGAAATCTCCACTTGCAAATTCCACAAAAAGAGTGTTTCAAATCTGCTCTGTCTAAAGGAAGGTTCAACTCTGTGAGTTGAACACACACAACACAAACAAGTTACTGAGAATTCTTCTGTCTAGCATTATATGGAGAAACCCCGTTTCAAAATAAGGCGCCAAAGAGGTCCGAATATCCACTTGCAGACTTTACAAACACACTGTTTCCAAACTGCTCTATGAAAAGAAAGTTTAAACTCCGAGAGTTGAACGCACACATCAGAAAGTAGTTTCTGAGAATGATTCTGTGTACTTTTTATACGAAGATATTTCATTTTCTACCACTGGCCACAAAGCGCTTGAAATCTCCACGTGCAAATTCCACAAAAAGAGTTTTTCAAATCTGCTCTCTCTAAAGGAAGGTTCATCTGTTGTCAGTTGAATACACACAACAGGAAGAAGTTACTGGGAAATCTTCTGTCTAGCATTATATGAAGAAACCCCATTCCCAATGAAGGCCTCAAAGAGTTCCCAATATCCACTTGCAGACTTTACAAACATAGCGTTTCCCAACTGCTCTATGAAAAGGAAGGTTAAACTCTGTTAGGTGAACGCACACATCAAAACGCAGTTTCTGGGAATGATTCTGTCTACTTTTTATTCGAAGATATTTCCTTTTCTACCGTTGGCCTCAAAGCGCTTGAAATCCCCACTTGCAAATTCCCCAAAAAGTGTCTTTCAAATCTGCTCTATCTAAAAGAAGGTTCAACTCTGTGAGCTGAATACACACAACACAAGGAAGTTACTGAGAATTCTTCTGTGTAGCCTTAAATGAAGAAATACCATTTCCAAAGAACGCCTCATGGCGGTCCAAATATCCACATGCAGACTTTTCAAACAGAGTGTTTCCCAACTGCTCTATGAAAAGAAAGGATAAACTCTGTGAGTTAAACATACACATCACTACACAGTTTCTGGGAATGATTTTGTCTAGTTTTTATGTGAAGATTTTTCCTTTTCTACCATTGGCCCCGAAGCGCTTGAAATCTCCAATTGGAAATTCCACAGAAAGTGTGTTTCAAATCTGCTCTATCTAAAAGAAGGTTCAACTCTGTGAGTTGAATACACACAATACAAAGAAGTTACGAAGAATTCCTCTGTCTAGCATTATATGAAGAAATCCCTTTTCCAAAGAAGGCCTCATAGAGGTCCGAATATCCACTTGCAGTCTTTACAAACAGAGTGTTTCCTAAGTGCTCTATGAAAAGAAAGGTAGAACTCTTTGAATTGAACGCATACATCACAAAGCAGTTTCTGAGAATCATTCTGTCAAGTTTTTATACGAAGAAATGTCCTTTTCTACCATTGACCTCAAAGCGTCTGAAATCTCCACTTGCAAATTCCACAAAAAGAGTGTCTCAAATCTGCTCTACCTAAAAGAAGGGTCAACTCTGTCAGTTGAATACACACAACACAAAGAAGTTACTGAGAAATCTACTGTCTAGCCTTACATGAATAAAACCCGTTTCCAACGAAGGCCTCAAAGATGTCCAAATATCCACGTGCAGACTTTACAAACAGAGTGTTTCCAAACTGCTGTATGAAAAGGTAGGTTAAACTCCGTGAGTCGAACGCACACATGATTAAGCAGTTTCTGAGAATGATTCTGACTTGTTTTTATACGAAGATATTTCCTCTTCTGCCTTTGGCCTCAAAGCGCTTGAAATTTGCTATTGCAAATTCCACAAAAAGAGTGTTTCAAGTCTGCTCTGTCTAAAGGAACGTTCAACTCTGTGATTTGAATACACACAACACAGAGAAGTTACTGAGAATTCGTCTGTCTAGCATTATATGAAGAAATCCCTTTTCCAACGAAGGCCTCAAAGAGATCGGAATATCCACTTTCAGACTGTTCAAACAGAGTGTTTCCTAACTGCTCTATGAAAAGAAAGGTAAAACTCTTTGAACTGAACACACACATCACGAAGCAGGTTCTGAGAATCATTCTGTCTAGTTTTAATACGAAGATATTTCCTTTTCTACCATTGACCTCAATGCGTCTGAAATCTCCACTTGCAAATTCCACAAAAAGAGTGGTTCAAATGTGCTCTGTCTAAAGGAAGGGTCAACTCTGTCAGTGGAATACACACAATACAAAGAAGTTACTGAGAATTCTTCTGTCTAGCCTTACATGAATAAAACCCGTTTCCAACGAAGACCTCAAAGAGGTCAAAATATCCACTTGCAGACATTACAAACAGAGTGTTTGCAAACTGCTGTACGAAAAGATAAGTGAAACTCTGTGAGTTGAACGCACACATCACAAAGCAGTTTCTGAGAATGATCTATCTAGTTTTTATACGAAGATATTTCCTTTTCTGCCTTTGGCCTCAAAGCGCTTGAAATCTCCACTTGCAAATTCCACAAAAAGAGTGTTTCAAATCTGCTCTGTCTAAAGGAAGGTTCAACTCTGTGAGTTGAACACACACAACACAAACAAGTTACTGAGAATTCTTCTGTCTAGCATTATATGGAGAAACCCCGTTTCAAAATAAGGCGCCAAAGAGGTCGAATATCCACTTTCAGACTTTACAAACACACTGTTTCCAAACTGCTCTATGAAAAGAAAGTTTAAACTCCGAGAGTTGAACGCACACATCAGAAAGTAGTTTCTGAGAATGATTCTGTGTACTTTTTATACGAAGATATTTCATTTTCTACCATTGGCCACAAAGCGCTTGAAATCTCCACGTGCAAATTCCACAAAAAGAGTGTTTCAAATCTGCTCTATCTAAAGGAACGTTCTATTCTGTGAGTTGATTACACACAACCCAAGGAAGTTACTGAGAATTCTTCTTTCTAGCATTATATGAAGAAATCCCGTTTCCAACGAAGGCCTCAAATAGGTCCGAATATCGAATTACAGATTTGACAAACTGTGTGTTTCCAAACGGCTCTATGAAAACAAAGGTTAAACTCTGTGAGTTGAATGCACACATCACAAAGCAGTTTCTGAAAATGATTCTGTCTTGTTTTTATGCGAAGATATTTCCTTTTCTACCATTGACGTTAAAGCGGCTGAAATCTCCACTTGCAACTTCCACAAAAAGAGTGTTTCAAATCTGCTCTCTCTAAAGGAAGGTTCATCTGTTGTCAGTTGAATACACACAACAGGAAGAAGTTACTGGGAAATCTTCTGTCTAGCATTATATGAAGAAACCCCATTCCCAATGAAGGCCTCAAAGAGTTCCCAATATCCACTTGCAGACTTTACAAACATAGCGTTTCCCAACTGCTCTATGAAAAGGAAGGTTAAACTCTGTTAGGTGAACGCACACATCAAAACGCAGTTTCTGGGAATGATTCTGTCTACTTTTTATTCGAAGATATTTCCTTTTCTACCGTTGGCCTCAAAGCGCTTGAAATCCCCACTTGCAAATTCCCCAAAAAGTGTCTTTCAAATCTGCTCTATCTAAAAGAAGGTTCAACTCTGTGAGCTGAATACACACAACACAAGGAAAGTTACTGAGAATTCTTCTGTGTAGCCTTAAATGAAGAAATACCATTTCCAAAGAACGCCTCATGGCGGTCCAAATATCCACATGCAGACTTTTCAAACAGAGTGTTTCCCAACTGCTCTATGAAAAGAAAGGATAAACTCTGTGAGTTAAACATACACATCACTACACAGTTTCTGGGAATGATTTTGTCTAGTTTTTATGTGAAGATTTTTCCTTTTCTACCATTGGCCCCGAAGCGCTTGAAATCTCCAATTGGAAATTCCACAGAAAGTGTGTTTCAAATCTGCTCTATCTAAAAGAAGGTTCAACTCTGTGAGTTGAATACACACAATACAAAGAAGTTACGAAGAATTCCTCTGTCTAGCATTATATGAAGAAATCCCTTTTCCAAAGAAGGCCTCATAGAGGTCCGAATATCCACTTGCAGTCTTTACAAACAGAGTGTTTCCTAAGTGCTCTATGAAAAGAAAGGTAGAACTCTTTGAATTGAACGCATACATCACAAAGCAGTTTCTGAGAATCATTCTGTCAAGTTTTTATACGAAGAAATGTCCTTTTCTACCATTGATCTCAAAGCGTCTGAAATCTCCACTTGCAAATTCCACAAAAAGAGTGTCTCAAATCTGCTCTACCTAAAAGAAGGGTGAACTCAGTCAGTTGAATACACACAACACAAAGAAGTTACTGAGAAATCTTCTGTCTAGCCTTACCTGAATAAAACCCGTTTCCAACGAAGGCCTCAAAGATGTCCAAATATCCACGTGCAGACTTTACAAACAGAGTGTTTCCAAACTGCTGTATGAAAAGGTAGGTTAAACTCCGTGAGTTGAACGCACACATGATTAAGCAGTTTCTGAGAATGATTCTGACTTGTTTTTATACGAAGATATTTCCTCTTCTGCCTTTGGCCTCAAAGCGCTGGAAATTTGCTATTGCAAATTCCACAAAAAGAGTGTTTCAAGTCTGCTCTGTCTAAAGGAACGTTCAACTCTGTGATTTGAATACACACAACACAGAGAAGTTACTGAGAATTCCTCTGTCTAGCATTATATGAAGAAATCCCTTTTCCAACGAAGGCCTCAAAGAGATCGGAATATCCACTTTCAGACTGTTCAAACAGAGTGTTTCCTAACTGCTCTATGAAAAGAAAGGTAAAACTCTTTGAACTGAACACACACATCACGAAGCAGGTTCTGAGAATCATTCTGTGTAGTTTTTATACGAAGATATTTCCTTTTCTACCATTGACCTCAATGCGTCTGAAATCTCCACTTGCAAATTCCACAAAAAGAGTGGTTCAAATGTGCTCTGTCTAAAGGAAGGGTCAACTCTGTCAGTGGAATACACACAATACAAAGAAGTTACTGAGAATTCTTCTGTCTAGCCTTACATGAATAAAACCCGTTTCCAACGAAGACCTCAAAGAGGTCAAAATATCCACTTGCAGACATCACAAACAGAGTGTTTCCAAACTGCTGTACGAAAAGATAAGTGAAACTCTGTGAGTTGAACGCACACATCACAAAGCAGTTTCTGAGAATGATCTATGTAGTTTTTATACGAAGATATTTCCTTTTCTGCCTTTGGCCTCAAAGCGCTTGAAATCTCCACTTGCAAATTCCACAAAAAGAGTGTTTCAAATCTGCTCTGTCTAAAGGAAGGTTCAACTCTGTGAGTTGAACACACACAACACAAACAAGTTACTGAGAATTCTTCTGTCTAGCATTATAGGGAGAAACCCCGTTTCAAATTAAGGCGCCAAAGAGGTCCGAATATCCACTTGCAGACTTTACAAACACACTGTTTCCAAACTGCTCTATGAAAAGAAAGTTTAACCTCCGAGAGTTGAACGCACACATCAGAAAGTAGTTTCTGAGAATGATTCTGTGTACTTTTTATACGAAGATATTTCATTTTCTACCACTGGCCACATAGCGCTTGAAATCTCCACGTGCAACTTCCACAAAAAGAGTGTTTCAAATCTGCTCTATCTAAAGGAACGTTCTATTCCGTGAGTTGATTACACACAACACAAGGAAGTTACTGAGAATTCTTCTTTCTAGTATTATATGAAGAAATCCCGATTCCAACGAAGGCCTCAAAGACGTCCGAATATCCACTTGCAGACTGTACAAACAGAGTGTTTCCAAACTGCTCTATGAAAAGAAAGGTTAAACTCTGTGAGTTGAACGCAAACATCACAAAGTAGTTTCTGAGAATGATTCTCTCTAGTTTTTAAACGAAGATATTTCTTTTTCTACCATTGACATTAAAGCGCTTGAAATCTCCAGTTGCAAATTACACAAAAAGTGTGTATGAAATCTGCTGTGTCTAAACGAACTTTCACCTCTGTGAGTTGAATACACACAACACAAAGAAGTTACTGTGAATTCTTCTGTGTAGCATTATATGAAGAAATCCCGTTTCCAATGAAGGCATCAAAGAGGTCCAACTATCCTCTTGCAGACTTTATAAACAGAGTGTTTCCAAACTGCTGTATGAATTGAAAGGTTAAACTCACTGAGTTGAACGCAGACATCACAAAGTAGCTACTGAGAATGATTCTGTGTACTTTTTATACGAAGATATTTCATTTTCTACCACTGGCCACAAAGCGCTTGAAATCTCCACGTGCAACTTCCACAAAAAGAGTGTTTCAAATCTGCTCTATCTAAAGGAACGTTCTATTCTGTGAGTTGATTACACACAACACAAGGAAGTTACTGAGAATTCTTCTTTCTAGCATTATATGAAGAAATCCCGTTTCCAACGAAGGCCTCAAATAGGTCCGAATATCGACTTACAGATTTGACAAACTGTGTGTTTCCAAACGGCTCTAGGAAAACAAAGGTTAAACTCTGTGAGTTGAATGCACACATCACAAAGCAGTTTCTGAAAATGATTCTGTCTTGTTTTTATGCGAAGATATTTCCTTTTCTACCATTGACGTTAAAGCGGCTGAAATCTCCACTTGCAAATTCCACAAAAAGAGTGTTTCAAATCTGCTCTCTGTAAAGGAAGGTTCATCTGTTGTCAGTTGAATACACACAACAGGAAGAAGTTACTGGGAAATCTTCTGTCTAGCATTATATGAAGAAACCCCATTCCCAATGAAGGCCTCAAAGAGTTCCCAATATCCACTTGCAGACTTTACAAACATAGCGTTTCCCAACTGCTCTATGAAAAGGAAGGTTAAACTCTGTTAGGTGAACGCACACATCAAAACGCAGTTTGCTGGGAATAATTCTGTCTACTTTTTATTCGAAGATATATCCTTTTCTACCGTTGGCCTCAAAGCGCTTGAAATCCCCACTTGCAAATTCCCCAAAAAGTGTCTTTCAAATCTGCTCTATCTAAAAGAAGGTTCAACTCTGTGAGCTGAATACACACAACACAAGGAAGTTACTGAGAATTCTTCTGTGTAGCCTTAAATGAAGAAATACCATTTCCAAAGAACGCCTCATGGCGGACCAAATATCCACATGCAGACTTTTCAAACAGAGTGTTTCCCAACTGCTCTATGAAAAGAAAGGATAAACTCTGTGAGTTAAACATACACATCACTACACAGTTTCTGGGAATGATTTTGTCTAGTTTTTTTGTGAAGATTTTTCCTTTTCTACCATTGGCCCCGAAGCGCTTGAAATCTCCAATTGGAAATTCCACAGAAAGTGTGTTTCAAATCTGCTCTATCTAAAAGAAGGTTCAACTCTGTGAGTTGAATACACACAATACAAAGAAGTTACGAAGAATTCCTCTGTCTAGCATTATATGAAGAAATCCCTTTTCCAAAGAAGGCCTCATAGAGGTCCGAATATCCACTTGCAGTCTTTACAAACAGAGTGTTTCCTAAGTGCTCTATGAAAAGAAAGGTAGAACTCTTTGAATTGAACGCATACATCACAAAGCAGTTTCTGAGAATCATTCTGTCAAGTTTTTATACGAAGAAATGTCCTTTTCTACCATTGACCTCAAAGCGTCTGAAATCTCCACTTGCAAATTCCACAAAAAGAGTGTCTCAAATCTGCTCTACCTAAAAGAAGGGTCAACTCTGTCAGTTGAATACACACAACACAAAGAAGTTACTGAGAAATCTTCGGTCTAGCCTTACATGAATAAAACCCGTTTCCAACGAAGGCCTCAAAGATGTCCAAATATCCACGTGCAGACTTTCCAAACAGAGTGTTTCCAAACTGCTGTATGAAAAGGTAGGTTAAACTCCATGAGTCGAACGCACACATGATTAAGCAGTTTCTGAGAATGATTCTGACTTGTTTTTATACGAAGATATTTCCTCTTCTGCCTTTGGCCTCAAAGCGCTTGAAATTTCCTATTGCAAATTCCACAAAAAGAGTGTTTCAAGTCTGCTCTGTCTAAAGGAACGTTCAACTCTGTGATTTGAATGCACACAACACAGAGAAGTTACTGAGAATTCCTCTGTCTAGCATTATATGAAGAAATCCCTTTTCCAACGAAGGCCTCAAAGAGATCGGAATATCCACTTTCAGACTGTTCAAACAGAGTGTTTCCTAACTGCTCTATGAAAAGAAAGGTAAAACTCTTTGAACTGAACACACACATCACGAAGCAGGTTCTGAGAATCATTCTGTCTAGTTTTTATACGAAGTATATTTCCTTTTCTACCATTGACCTCAATGCGTCTGAAATCTCCACTTGCAAATTCCACAAAAAGAGTGGTTCAAATGTGCTCTGTCTAAAGGAAGGGTCAACTCTGTCAGTGGAATACACACAATACAAAGAAGTTACTGAGAATTCTTCTGTCTAGCCTTACATGAATAAAACCCGTTTCCAACGAAGACCTCAAAGAGGTCAAAATATCCACTTGCAGACATTACAAACAGAGTGTTTCCAAACTGCTGTATGAAAAGATAAGTGAAACTCTGTGAGTTGAACGCACACATCACAAAGCAGTTTCTGAGAATGATCTATCTAGTTTTTATACGAAGATATTTCCTTTTCTGTCTTTGCCTTGAAAGCGCTTGAAATCTCCACTTGCAAATTCCACAAAAAGAGTGTTTCTAATCTGCTCTGTCTAAAGGAAGGTTCAACTCTGTGAGTTGAACACACACAACACAAACAAGTTACTGAGAATTCTTCTGTCTAGCATTATATGGAGAAAACCCGTTTCAAAATAAGGCGCCAAAGAGGTCCGAATATCCACTTGCAGACTTTACAAACACACTGTTTCCAAACTGCTCTATGAAAAGAAAGTTTAAACTCCGAGAGTTGAACGCACACATCAGAAAGTAGTTTCTGAGAATGATTCTGTGTACTTTTTATACGAAGATATTTCATTTTCTACCACTGGCCACAAAGCGCTTGAAATCTCCACGTGCAACTTCCACAAAAAGAGTGTTTCAAATCTGCTCTATCTAAAGGAACGTTCTATTCTGTGAGTTGATTACACACAACACACGGAAGTTACTGAGAATTCTTCTGTCTAGCATTATATGAAGAAACCCCATTCCCAATGAAGGCCTCAAAGAGTTCCCAATATCCACTTGCAGACTTTACAAACATAGCGTTTCCCAACTGCTCTATGAAAAGGAAGGTTAAACTCTGTTAGGTGAACGCACACATCAAAACGCAGTTTCTGGGAATGATTCTGTCTACTTTTTATTTGAAGATATTTCCTTTTCTACCGTTGGCCTCAAAGCGCTTGAAATCCCCACTTGCAAATTCCCCAAAAAGTGTCTTTCAAATCTGCTCTATCTAAAAGAAGGTTCAACTCTGTGAGCTGAATACACACAACACGAGGAAGTTACTGAGAATTCTTCTGTGTAGCCTTAAATGAAGAAATACCATTTCCAAAGAACGCCTCATGGCGGTCCAAATATCCACATGCAGACTTTTCAAACAGAGTGTTTCCCAACTGCTCTATGAAAAGAAAGGATAAACTCTGTGAGTTAAACATACACATCACTACACAGTTTCTGGGAATGATTTTGTCTAGTTTTTATGTGAAGATTTTTCCTTTTCTACCATTGGCCCTGAAGCGCTTGAAATCTCCAATTGGAAATTCCACAGAAAGTGTGTTTCAAATCTGCTCTATCTAAAAGAAGGTTCAACTCTGTGAGTTGAATACACACAATACAAAGAAGTTACGAAGAATTCCTCTGTCTAGCATTATATGAAGAAATCCCTTTTCCAAAGAAGGCCTCATAGAGGTCCGAATATCCACTTGCAGTCTTTACAAACAGAGTGTTTCCTAAGTGCTCTATGAAAAGAAAGGTAGAACTCTTTGAATTGAACGCATATATCACAAAGCAGTTTCTGAGAATCATTCTGTCAAGTTTTTATACGAAGAAATGTCCTTTTCTACCATTGACCTCAAAGCGTCTGAAATCTCCACTTGCAAATTCCACAAAAAGAGTGTGTCAAATCTGCTCTACCTAAAAGAAGGGTCAACTCTGTCAGTTGAATACACACAACACAAAGAAGTTACTGAGAAATCTTCTGTCTAGCCTTACATGAATAAAACCCGTTTCCAACGAAGGCCTCAAAGATGTCCAAATATCCACGTGCAGACTTTACAAACAGAGTGTTTCCAAACTGCTGTATGAAAAGGTAGGTTAAACTCCGTGAGTCGAACGCACACATGATTAAGCAGTTTCTGAGAATGATTCTGACTTGTTTTTATACGAAGATATTTCCTCTTCTGCCTTTGGCCTCAAAGCGCTTGAAATTTCCTATTGCAAATTCCACAAAAAAGAGTGTTTCAAGTCTGCTCTGTCTAAAGGAACGTTCAACTCTGTGATTTGAATACACACAACACAGAGAAGTTACTGAGAATTCCTCTGTCTAGCATTATATGAAGAAATCCCTTTTCCAACGAAGGCCTCAAAGAGATCGGAATATCCACTTTCAGACTGTTCAAACAGAGTGTTTCCTAACTGCTCTATGAAAAGAAAGGTAAAACTCTTTGAACTGAACACACACATCACGAAGCAGGTTCTGAGAATCATTCTGTCTAGTTTTTATACGAAGATATTTCCTTTTCTACCATTGACCTCAATGCGTCTGAAATCTCCACTTGCAAATTCCACAAAAAGAGTGGTTCAAATGTGCTCTGTCTAAAGGAAGGGTCAACTCTGTCAGTGGAATACACACAATATAAAGAAGTTACTGAGAATTCTTCTGTCTAGCCTTACATGAATAAAACCCGTTTCCAACGAAGACCTCAAAGAGGTCAAAATATCCACTTGCAGACATTACAAACAGAGTGTTTCCAAACTGCTGTATGAAAAGATAAGTGAAACTCTGTGAGTTGAACGCACACATCACAAAGCAGTTTCTGAGAATGACTATCTAGTTTTTATACGAAGATATTTCCTTTTCTGCCTTTGGCTTGAAAGCGCTTGAAATCTCCACTTGCAAATTCCACAAAAAGAGTGTTTCTAATCTGCTCTGTCTAAAGGAAGGTTCAACTCTGTGAGTTGAACACACACAACACAAACAAGTTACTGAGAATTCTTCTGTCTAGCCTTATATGGAGAAACCCCGTTTCAAAATAAGGCGCCAGAGAGGTCCGAATATCCACTTGCAGACTTTACAAACAGACTGTTTCCAAACTGCTCTATGAAAAGAAAGTTTAAACTCTGTGAGTTGAACGCACACATCAGAAAGTAGTTTCTGAGAATCATTCTGTCTAATTTCTATACGAAGATATTTCCTTTTCTACCGTTGACCTCAAAGCGGCTGAAATCTCCACTTGCAAATTCCACAAAAAGAGTGTTTCTAATCTGCTCTGTGTAAAGGATCATTCAACTCTGTGAGTTGAATGCACACAACACAAGGAAGTTACTGAGAATTCTTCTGTCTAGCATAATATGAAGAAACCCCGTTTCCAACGAAGGCCTCAAAGAGGTCTGAATATCCACTGGCAGACTTCACAAACAGAGTGTT
Organism: Homo sapiens; assembly: GCF_000001405.40. Taxonomy (NCBI): domain Eukaryota; kingdom Metazoa; phylum Chordata; class Mammalia; order Primates; family Hominidae; genus Homo; species Homo sapiens. The sequence goes on along the minus strand of NC_000005.10, from coordinate 47,210,298 downwards.
TCCTAACTACTCTATGAAAAGAAAGGTTAAATTCTGTGAGTTGAACGCACACATAACAAAGGAGTTTCTGAGAATCATTCTGTCTAGTTTCTGTACGAAGATATTTCCTTTTCTACCATTGACCTCAAAGCGGCAGAAATCTCCACTTGCAAATTCCACAAAAAGAGTGTTTCAAGTCTGCTCAGTGTAAAGGATCGTTCAACTCTGTGAGTTGAATACACACAACACAAGGAAGTTACTGAGAATTCTTCTGTGTAGCCTTAAATGAAGAAATACCATTTTCAAAGAACGCCTCATGGCGGTCCAAATATCCACAGGCAGACTTTTCAAACAGAGCGTTTCCCAACTGCTCTATGAAAAGAAATGTTAAACTCTGTGAGTTAAACATACACATCACTACACAGTTTCTGGGAATGATCTATCTAGTTTTTATACGAAGATATTTCCTTTTCTGCCTTTGGCCTCAAAGCGCTTGAAATCTCCACTTGCAAATTCCACAAAAAGAGTGTTTCAAATCTGCTCTGTCTAAAGGAAGGTTCAACTCTGTGAGTTGAACACACACAACACAAACAAGTTACTGAGAAGTCTTCTGTCTAGCATTATATGGAGAAACCCCGTTTCAAAATAAGGCGCCAAAGAGGTCCGAATATCCACTTGCAGACTTTACAAACACACTGTTTCCAAACTGCTCTATGAAAAGAAAGTTTAAACTCCGAGAGTTGAACGCACACATCAGAAAGTAGTTTCTGAGAATGATTCTGTGTACTTTTTATACGAAGATATTTCATTTTCTACCACTGGTCACAAAGCGCTTGAAATCTCCACGTGCAACTTCCACAAAAAGAGTGTTTCAAATCTGCTCTATCTAAAGGAACGTTCTATTCTGTGAGTTGATTACACACAACACAAGGAAGTTACTGAGAATTCTTTCTAGCATTATATGAAGAAATCCCGTTTCCAACGAAGGCCTCAAATAGGTCCGAATATCGACTTACAGATTTGACAAACTGTGTGTTTCCAAACGGCTCTATGAAAACAAAGGTTAAACTCTGTGAGTTGAATGCACACATCACAAAGCAGTTTCTGAAAATGATTCTGTCTTGTTTTTATGCGAAGATATTTCCTTTTCTACCATTGACGTTAAAGCGGCTGAAATCTCCACTTGCAACTTCCACAAAAAGAGTGTTTCAAATATGCTCTCTCTAAAGGAAGGTTCATCTGTTGTCAGTTGAATACACACAACAGGAAGAAGTTACTGGGAAATCTTCTGTCTAGCATTATATGAAGAAACCCCATTCCCAATGAAGGCCTCAAAGAGTTCCCAATATCCACTTGCAGACTTTACAAACATAGCGTTTCCCAACTGCTCTATGAAAAGGAAGGTTAAACTCTGTTAGGTGAACGCACACATCAAAACGCAGTTTCTGGGAATGATTCTGTCTACTTTTTATTCGAAGATATTTCCTTTTCCACCGTTGGCCTCAAAGCGCTTGAAATCCCCACTTGCAAATTCCCCAAAAAGTGTCTTTCAAATCTGCTCTATCTAAAAGAAGGTTCAACTCTGTGAGCTGAATACACACAACACAAGGAAGTTACTGAGAATTCTTCTGTGTAGCCTTAAATGAAGAAATACCATTTCCAAAGAACGCCTCATGGCGGTCCAAATATCCACATGCAGACTTTTCAAACAGAGTGTTTCCCAACTGCTCTATGAAAAGAAAGGATAAACTCTGCGAGTTAAACATACACATCACTACACAGTTTCTGGGAATGAGTTTGTCTAGTTTTTATGTGAAGATTTTTCCTTTTCTACCATTGGCCCTGAAGCGCTTGAAATCTCCAATTGGAAATTCCACAGAAAGTGTGTTTCAAATCTGCTCTATCTAAAAGAAGGTTCAACTCTGTGAGTTGAATACACACAATACAAAGAAGTTACGAAGAATTCCTCTGTCTAGCATTATATGAAGAAATCCCTTTTCCAAAGAAGGCCTCATAGAGGTCCGAATATCCACTTGCAGTCTTTACAAACAGAGTGTTTCCTAAGTGCTCTATGAAAAGAAAGGTAGAACTCTTTGAATTGAACGCATACATCACAAAGCAGTTTCTGAGAATCATTCTGTCAAGTTTTTATACGAAGAAATGTCCTTTTCTACCATTGACCTCAAAGCGTCTGAAATCTCCACTTGCAAATTCCACAAAAAGAGTGTCTCAAATCTGCTCTACCTAAAAGAAGGGTCAACTCTGTCAGTTGAATACACACAACACAAAGAAGTTACTGAGAAATCTTCTGTCTAGCCTTACATGAATAAAACCCGTTTCCAACGAAGGCCTCAAAGATGTCCAAATATCCACGTGCAGACTTTACAAACAGAGTGTTTCCAAACTGCTGTATGAAAAGGTAGGTTAAACTCCGTGAGTCGAACGCACACATGATTAAGCAGTTTCTGAGAATGATTCTGACTTGTTTTTATACGAAGATATTTCCTCTTCTGCCTTTGGCCTCAAAGCGCTTGAAATTTCCTATTGCAAATTCCACAAAAAGAGTGTTTCAAGTCTGCTCTGTCTAAAGGAACGTTCAACTCTGTGATTTGAATACACACAACACAGAGAAGTTACTGAGAATTCCTCTGTCTAGCATTATATGAAGAAATCCCTTTTCCAACGAAGGCCTCAAAGAGATCGGAATATCCACTTTCAGACTTTTCAAACAGAGTGTTTCCTAACTGCTCTATGAAAAGAAAGGTAAAACTCTTTGAACTGAACACACACATGACGAAGCAGGTTCTGAGAATCATTCTGTCTAGTTTTTATACGAAGATATTTCCTTTTCTACCATTGACCTCAATGCGTCTGAAATCTCCACTTGCAAATTCCACAAAAAGAGTGGTTCAAATGTGCTCTGTCTAAAGAAAGGGTCAACTCTGTCAGTGGAATACACACAATACAAAGAAGTTACTGAGAATTCTTCTGTCTAGCCTTACATGAATAAAACCCGTTTCCAACGAAGACCTAAAAGAGGTCAAAATATCCACTTGCAGACATTACAAACAGAGTGTTTCCAAGCTGCTGTACGAAAAGATAAGTGAAACTCTGTGAGTTGAACGCACACATCACAAAGCAGTTTCTGAGAATGACTATCTAGTTTTTATACGAAGATATTTCCTTTTCTGCCTTTGGCCTCAAAGCGCTTGAAATCTCCACTTGCAAATTCCACAAAAAGAGTGTTTCAAATCTGCTCTGTCTAAAGGAAGGTTCAACTCTGTGAGTTGAACACACACAACACAAACAAGTTACTGAGAATTCTTCTGTGTAGCATTATATGGAGAAACCCCGTTTCAAAATAAGGCGCCAAAGAGGTCCGAATATCCACTTGCAGACTTTACAAACACACTGTTTCCAAACTGCTCTATGAAAAGAAAGTTTAAACTCCGAGAGTTGAACGCACACATCAGAAAGTAGTTTCTGAGAATGATTCTGTGTACTTTTTATACGAAGCATATTTCATTTTCTACCACTGGCCACAAAGCGCTTGAAATCTCCACGTGCAACTTCCACAAAAAGAGTGTTTCAAATCTGCTCTATCTAAAGGAACGTTCTATTCTGTGAGTTGATTACACACAACACAAGGAAGTTACTGAGAATTCTTCTTTCTAGCATTATATGAAGAAATCCCGTTTCCAACGAAGGCCTCAAATAGGTCCGAATATCGACTTACAGATTTGACAAACTGTGTGTTTCCAAACGGCTCTAGGAAAACAAAGGTTAAACTCTGTGAGTTGAATGCACACATCACAAAGCAGTTTCTGAAAATGATTTCTGTCTTGCTTTTATGCGAAGATATTTCCTTTTCTACCATTGACGTTAAAGCGGCTGAAATCTCCACTTGCAAATTCCACAAAAAGAGTGTTTCAAATCTGCTCTCTCTAAAGGAAGGTTCATCTGTTGTCAGTTGAATACACACAACAGGAAGAAGTTACTGGGAAATCTTCTGTCTAGCATTATATGAAGAAACCCCATTCCCAATGAAGGCCTCAAAGAGTTCCCAATATCCACTTGCAGACTTTACAAACATAGCGTTTCCCAACTGCTCTATGAAAAGGAAGGTTAAACTCTGTTAGGTGAACGCACACATCAAAACGCAGTTTCTGGGAATGATTCTGTCTACTTTTTATTCGAAGATATTTCCTTTTCTACCGTTGGCCTCAAAGCGCTTGAAATCCCCACTTGCAAATTCCCCAAAAAGTGTCTTTCAAATCTGCTCTATCTAAAAGAAGGTTCAACTCTGTGAGCTGAATACACACAACACGAGGAAGTTACTGAGAATTCTTCTGTGTAGCCTTAAATGAAGAAATACCATTTCCAAAGAACGCCTCATGGCGGTCCAAATATCCACATGCAGACTTTTCAAACAGAGTGTTTCCCAACTGCTCTATGAAAAGAAAGGATAAACTCTGTGAGTTAAACATACACATCACTACACAGTTTCTGGGAATGATTTTGTCTAGTTTATTTGTGAAGATTTTTCCTTTTCTACCATTGGCCCCGAAGCGCTTGAAATCTCCAATTGGAAATTCCACAGAAAGTGTGTTTCAAATCTGCTCTATCTAAAAGAAGGTTCAACTCTGTGAGTTGAATACACACAATACAAAGAAGTTACGAAGAATTCCTCTGTCTAGCATTATATGAAGAAATCCCTTTTCCAAAGAAGGCCTCATAGAGGTCCGAATATCCACTTGCAGTCTTTACAAACAGAGTGTTTCCTAAGTGCTCTATGAAAAGAAAGGTAGAACTCTTTGAATTGAACGCATACATCACAAAGCAGTTTCTGAGAATCATTCTGTCAAGTTTTTATACGAAGAAATGTCCTTTTCTACCATTGACCTCAAAGCGTCTGAAATCTCCACTTGCAAATTCCACAAAAAGAGTGTCTCAAATCTGCTCTACCTAAAAGAAGGGTCAACTCTGTCAGTTGAATACACACAACACAAAGAAGTTACTGAGAAATCTTCTGTCTAGCCTTACATGAATAAAACCCGTTTCCAACGAAGGCCTCAAAGATGTCCAAATATCCACGTGCAGACTTTCCAAACAGAGTGTTTCCAAACTGCTGTATGAAAAGGTAGGTTAAACTCCGTGAGTTGAACGCACACATGATTAAGCAGTTTCTGAGAATGATTCTGACTTGTTTTTATACGAAGATATTTCCTCTTCTGCCTTTGGCCTCAAAGCGCTTGAAATTTCCTATTGCAAATTCCACAAAAAGAGTGTTTCAAGTCTGCTCTGTCTAAAGGAACGTTCAACTCTGTGATTTGAATACACACAACACAGAGAAGTTACTGAGAATTCCTCTGTCTAGCATTATATGAAGAAATCCCTTTTCCAACGAAGGCCTCAAAGAGATCGGAATATCCACTTTCAGACTGTTCAAACAGAGTGTTTCCTAACTGCTCTATGAAAAGAAAGGTAAAACTCTTTGAACTGAACACACACATCACGAAGCAGGTTCTGAGAATCATTCTGTCTAGTTTTTATACGAAGATATTTCCTTTTCTACCATTGACCTCAATGCGTCTGAAATCTCCACTTGCAAATTCCACAAAAAGAGTGGTTCAAATGTGCTCTGTCTAAAGGAAGGGTCAACTCTGTCAGTGGAATACACACAATACAAAGAAGTTACTGAGAATTCTTCTGTCTAGCCTTACATGAATAAAACCCGTTTCCAACGAAGACCTCAAAGAGGTCAAAATATCCACTTGCAGACATTACAAACAGAGTGTCTCCAAACTGCTGTACGAAAAGATAAGTGAAACTCTGTGAGTTGAACGCACACATCACAAAGCAGTTTCTGAGAATGATCTATCTAGTTTTTATACGAAGATATTTCCTTTTCTGCCTTTGGCCTCAAAGCGATTGAAATCTCCACTTGCAAATTCCACAAAAAGTGTTTCAAATCTGCTCTGTCTAAAGGAAGGTTCAACTCTGTGAGTTGAACACACACAACACAAACAAGTTACTGAGAATTCTTCTGTCTAGCATTATAGGGAGAAACCCCGTTTCAAATTAAGGCGCCAAAGAGGTCCGAATATCCACTTGCAGACTTTACAAACACACTGTTTCCAAACTGCTCTATGAAAAGAAAGTTTAAACTCCGAGAGTTGAACGCACACATCAGAAAGTAGTTTCTGAGAATGATTCTGTGTACTTTTTATACGAAGATATTTCATTTTCTACCACTGGCCACAAAGCGCTTGAAATCTCCACGTGCAACTTCCACAAAAAGAGTGTTTCAAATCTGCTCTATCTAAAGGAACGTTCTATTCTGTGAGTTGATTACACACAACACAAGGAAGTTACTGAGAATTCTTCTTTCTAGCATTATATGAAGAAATCCCGTTTCCAACGAAGGCCTCAAATAGGTCCGAATATCGACTTACAGGTTAGACAAACTGTGTGTTTCCAAATGGCTCTATGAAAACAAAGGTTAAACTCTGTGAGTTGAATGCACACATCACAAAGCAGTTTCTGAAAATGATTCTGTCTTGCTTTTATGCGAAGATATTTCCTTTTCTACCATTGACGTTAAAGCGGCTGAAATCTCCACTTGCAAATTCCACAAAAAGAGTGTTTCAAATCTGCTCTCTCTAAAGGAAGGTTCATCTGTTGTCAGTTGAATACACACAACAGGAAGAAGTTACTGGGAAATCTTCTGTCTAGCATTATATGAAGAAACCCCATTCCCAATGAAGGCCACAAAGAGTTCCCAATATCCACTTGCAGACTTTACAAATATAGCGTTTCCCAACAGCTCTTTGAAAAGGAAGGTTTAACTCTGTTAGGTGAATGCACACATCAAAACGCAGTTTCTGGGAATGATTCTGTCTACTTTTTATTCGAAGATATTTCCTTTTCTACCGTTGGCCTCAAAGCGCTTGAAATCCCCACTTGCAAATTCCCCAAAAAGTGTCTTTCAAATCTGCTCTATCTAAAAGAAGGTTCAACTCTGTGAGCTGAATACACACAACACAAGGAAGTTACTGAGAATTCTTTCTGTGTAGCCTTAAATGAAGAAATACCATTTCCAAAGAACGCCTCATGGCGGTCCAAATATCCACATGCAGACTTTTCAAACAGGGTGTTTCCCAACTGCTCTATGAAAAGAAAGGATAAACTCTGTGAGTTAAACATACACATCACTACACAGTTTCTGGGAATGATTTTGTCTAGTTTTTTTGTGAAGATTTTTCCTTTTCTACCATTGGCCCCGAAGCGCTTGAAATCTCCAATTGGAAATTCCACAGAAAGTGTGTTTCAAATCTGCTCTATCTAAAAGAAGGTTCAACTCTGTGAGTTGAATACACACAATACAAAGAAGTTACGAAGAATTCCTCTGTCTAGCATTATATGAAGAAATCCCTTTTCCAAAGAAGGCCTCATAGAGGTCCGAATATCCACTTGCAGTCTTTACAAACAGAGTGTTTCCTAAGTGCTCTATGAAAAGAAAGGTAGAACTCTTTGAATTGAACGCATACATCACAAAGCAGTTTCTGAGAATCATTCTGTCAAGTTTTTATACGAAGAAATGTCCTTTTCTACCATTGACCTCAAAGCGTCTGAAATCTCCACTTGCAAATTCCACAAAAAGAGTGTGTCAAATCTGCTCTACCTAAAAGAAGGGTCAACTCTGTCAGTTGAATACACACAACACAAAGAAGTTACTGAGAAATCTTCTGTCTAGCCTTACATGAATAAAACCCGTTTCCAACGAAGGCCTCAAAGATGTCCAAATATCCACGTGCAGACTTTACAAACAGAGTGTTTCCAAACTGCTGTATGAAAAGGTAGGTTAAACTCCGTGAGTTGAACGCACACATGATAAAGCAGTTTCTGAGAATGATTCTGACTTGTTTTTATACGAAGATATTTCCTCTTCTGCCTTTGGCCTCAAAGCGCTTGAAATTTGCTATTGCAAATTCCACAAAAAGAGTGTTTCAAGTCTGCTCTGTCTAAAGGAACGTTCAACTCTGTGATTTGAATACACACAACACAGAGAAGTTACTGAGAATTCCTCTGTCTAGCATTATATGAAGAAATCCCTTTTCCAACGAAGGCCTCAAAGAGATCGGAATATCCACTTTCAGACTGTTCAAACAGAGTGTTTCCTAACTGCTCTATGAAAAGAAAGGTAAAACTCTTTGAACTGAACACACACATCACGAAGCAGGTTCTGAGAATCATTCTGTCTAGTTTTTATACGAAGATATTTCCTTTTCTACCATTGACCTCAATGCGTCTGAAATCTCCACTTGCAAATTCCACAAAAAGAGTGGTTCAAATGTGCTCTGTCTAAAGGAAGGGTCAACTCTGTCAGTGGAATACACACAATACAAAGAAGTTACTGAGAATTCTTCTGTCTAGCCTTACATGAATAAAACCCGTTTCCAACGAAGACCTCAAAGAGGTCAAAATATCCACTTGCAGACATTACAAACAGAGTGTTTCCAAACTGCTGTACGAAAAGATAAGTGTAACTCTGTGAGTTGAACGCACACATCACAAAGCAGTATCTGAGAATGACTATCTAGTTTTTATACGAAGATATTTCCTTTTCTGCCTTTGGCCTCAAAGCGCTTGAAATCTCCACTTGCAAATTCCACAAAAAGAGTGTTTCAAATCTGCTCTGTCTAAAGGAAGGTTCAACTCTGTGAGTTGAACACACACAACACAAACAAGTTACTGAGAATTCTTCTGTGTAGCATTATATGGAGAAACCCCGTTTCAAAATAAGGCGCCAAAGAGGTCCGAATATCCACTTGCAGACTTTACAAACACACTGTTTCCAAACTGCTCTATGAAAAGAAAGTTTAAACTCCGAGAGTTGAACGCACACATCAGAAAGTAGTTTCTGAGAATGATTCTGTGTACTTTTTATACGAAGATATTTCATTTTCTACCACTGGCCACAAAGCGCTTGAAATCTCCACGTGCAACTTCCACAAAAAGAGTGTTTCAAATCTGCTCTATCTAAAGGAACGTTCTATTCTGTGAGTTGATTACACACAACACAAGGAAGTTACTGAGAATTCTTCTTTCTAGCATTATATGAAGAAATCCCGTTTCCAACGAAGGCCTCAAATAGTTCCGAATATCGACTTACAGATTTGACAAACTGTGTGTTTCCAAACGGCTCTATGAAAACAGAGGTTAAACTCTGTGAGTTGAATGCACACATCACAAAGCAGTTTCTGAAAATGATTCTGTCTTGTTTTTATGCGAAGATATTTCCTTTTCTACCATTGACGTTAAAGCGGCTGAAATCTCCACTTGCAACTTCCACAAAAAGAGTGTTTCAAATCTGCTCTCTCTAAAGGAAGGTTCATCTGTTGTCAGTTGAATACACACAACAGGAAGAAGTTACTGGGAAATCTTCTGTCTAGCATTATATGAAGAAACCCCATTCCCAATGAAGGCCTCAAAGAGTTCCCAATATCCACTTGCAGACTTTACAAACATAGCGTTTCCCAACTGCTCTATGAAAAGGAAGGTTAAACTCTGTTAGGTGAACGCACACATCAAAACGCAGTTTCTGGGAATGATTCTGTCTACTTTTTATTCGAAGATATTTCCTTTTCTACCGTTGGCCTCAAAGCGCTTGAAATCCCCACTTGCAAATTCCCCAAAAAGTGTCTTTCAAATCTGCTCTATCTAAAAGAAGGTTCAACTCTGTGAGCTGAATACACACAACACAAGGAAGTTACTGAGAATTCTTCTGTGTAGCCTTAAATGAAGAAATACCATTTCCAAAGAACGCCTCATGGCGGTCCAAATATCCACATGCAGACTTTTCAAACAGAGTGTTTCCCAACTGCTCTATGAAAAGAAAGGATAAACTCTGTGAGTTAAAAATACACATCACTACACAGTTTCTGGGAATGAGTTTGTCTAGTTTTTATGTGAAGATTTTTCCTTTTCTACCATTGGCCCCGAAGCGCTTGAAATCTCCAATTGGAAATTCCACAAAAAGTGTGTTTCAAATCTGCTCTATCTAAAAGAAGGTTCAACTCTGTGAGTTGAATACACACAATACAAAGAAGTTACGAAGAATTCCTCTGTCTAGCATTATATGAAGAAATCCCTTTTCCAAAGAAGGCCTCATAGAGGTCCGAATATCCACTTGCAGTCTTTACAAACAGAGTGTTTCCTAAGTGCTCTATGAAAAGAAAGGTAGAACTCTTTGAATTGAACGCATACATCACAAAGCAGTTTCTGAGAATCATTCTGTCAAGATTTTATACGAAGAAATGTCCTTTTCTACCATTGACCTCAAAGCGTCTGAAATCTGCACTTGCAAATTCCACAAAAAGAGTGTCTCAAATCTGCTCTACCTAAAAGAAGGGTCAACTCTGTCAGTTGAATACACACAACACAAAGAAGTTACTGAGAAATCTTCTGTCTAGCCTTACATGAATAAAACCCGTTTCCAACGAAGGCCTCAAAGATGTCCAAATATCCACGTGCAGACTTTACAAACAGAGTGTTTCCAAACTGCTGTATGAAAAGGTAGGTTAAACTCCGTGAGTCGAACGCACACATGATTAAGCAGTTTCTGAGAATGATTCTGACTTGTTTTTATACGAAGATATTTCCTCTTCTGCCTTTGGCCTCAAAGCGCTTGAAATTTGCTATTGCAAATTCCACAAAAAGAGTGTTTCAAGTCTGCTCTGTCTAAAGGAACGTTCAACTCTGTGATTTGAATACACACAACACAGAGAAGTTACTGAGAATTCCTCTGTCTAGCATTATATGAAGAAATCCCTTTTCCAACAAAGGCCTCAAAGAGATCGGAATATCCACTTTCAGACTGTTCAAACAGAGTGTTTCCTAACTGCTCTATGAAAAGAAAGGTAAAACTCTTTGAACTGAACACACACATCACGAAGCAGGTTCTGAGAATCATTCTGTCTAGTTTTTATACGAAGATATTTCCTTTTCTACCATTGACCTCAATGCGTCTGAAATCTCCACTTGCAAATTCCACAAAAAGAGTGGTTCAAATGTGCTCTGTCTAAAGGAAGGGTCAACTCTGTCAGTGGAATACACACAATACAAAGAAGTTACTGAGAATTCTTCTGTCTAGCCTTACATGAATAAAACCCGTTTCCAACGAAGACCTAAAAGAGGTCAAAATATCCACTTGCAGACATTACAAACAGAGTGTTTCCAAGCTGCTGTACGAAAAGATAAGTGAAACTCTGTGAGTTGAACGCACACATCACAAAGCAGTTTCTGAGAATGATCTATCTAGTTTTTATACGAAGATATTTCCTTTTCTGCCTTTGGCCTCAAAGCGCTTGAAATCTCCACTTGCAAATTCCACAAAAAGAGTGTTTCAAATCTGCTCTGTCTAAAGGAAGGTTCAACTCTGTGAGTTGAACACACACAACACAAACAAGTTACTGAGAATTCTTCTGTCTAGCATTATAGGGAGAAACCCCGTTTCAAATTAAGGCGCCAAAGAGGTCCGAATATCCACTTGCAGACTTTACAAACACACTGTTTCCAAACTGCTCTATGAAAAGAAAGTTTAACCTCCGAGAGTTGAACGCACACATCAGAAAGTAGTTTCTGAGAATGATTCTGTGTACTTTTTATACGAAGATATTTCATTTTCTTCCACCGGCCACAAAGCGCTTGAAATCTCCACGTGCAACTTCCACAAAAAGAGTGTTTCAAATCTGCTCTATCTAAAGGAACGTTCTATTCTGTGAGTTGATTACACACAACACAAGGAAGTTACTGAGAATTCTTCTTTCTAGCATTATATGAAGAAATCCCGTTTCCAACGAAGGCCTCAAATAGGTCCGAATATCGACTTATAGGTTAGACAAACTGTGTGTTTCCAAACGGCTCTATGAAAACAAAGGTTAAACTCTGTGTGTTGAATGCACACATCACAAAGCAGTTTCTGAAAATGATTCTGTCTTGTTTTTATGCGAAGATATTTCCTTTTCTACCATTGACGTTAAAGCGGCTGAAATCTCCACTTGCAAATTCCACAAAAAGAGTGTTTCAAATCTGCTCTCTCTAAAGGAAGGTTCATCTGTTGTCAGTTGAATACACACAACAGGAAGAAGTTACTGGGAAATCTTCTGTCTAGCATTATATGAAGAAACCCCATTCCCAATGAAGGCCTCAAAGAGTTCCCAATATCCACTTGCAGACTTTACAAACATAGCGTTTCCCAACTGCTCTATGAAAAGGAAGGTTAAACTCTGTTAGGTGAACGCACACATCAAAACGCAGTTTCTGGGAATGATTCTGTCTACTTTTTATTCGAAGATATTTCCTTTTCTACCGTTGGCCTCAAAGCGCTTGAAATCCCCACTTGCAAATTCCCCAAAAAGTGTCTTTCAAATCTGCTCTATCTAAAAGAAGGTTCAACTCTGTGAGCTGAATACACACAACACAAGGAAGTTACTGAGAATTCTTCTGTGTAGCCTTAAATGAAGAAATACCATTTCCAAAGAACGCCTCATGGCGGTCCAAATATCCACATGCAGACTTTTCAAACAGAGTGTTTCCCAACTGCTCTATGAAAAGAAAGGATAAACTCTGTGAGTTAAACATCCACATCACTACACAGTTTCTGGGAATGATTTTGTCTAGTTTTTATGTGAAGATTTTTCCTTTTCTACCATTGGCCCCGAAGCGCTTGAAATCTCCAATTGGAAATTCCACAGAAAGTGTGTGTCAAATCTGCTCTATCTAAAAGAAGGTTCAACTCTGTGAGTTGAATACACACAATACAAAGAAGTTACGAAGAATTCCTCTGTCTAGCATTATATGAAGAAATCCCTTTTCCAAAGAAGGCCTCATAGAGGTCCGAATATCCACTTGCAGTCTTTACAAACAGAGTGTTTCCTAAGTGCTCTATGAAAAGAAAGGTAGAACTCTTTGAATTGAACGCATACATCACAAAGCAGTTTCTGAGAATCATTCTGTCAAGTTTTTATATGAAGAAATGTCCTTTTCTACCATTGACCTCAAAGCGTCTGAAATCTCCACTTGCAAATTCCACAAAAAGAGTGTCTCAAATCTGCTCTACCTAAAAGAAGGGTCAACTCTGTCAGTTGAATACACACAACACATAGAAGTTACTGAGAAATCTTCTGTCTAGCCTTACATGAATAAAACCCGTTTCCAACGAAGGCCTCAAAGATGTCCAAATATCCACGTGCAGACTTTACAAACAGAGTGTTTCCAAACTGCTGTATGAAAAGGTAGGTTAAACTCCGTGAGTCGAACGCACACATGATTAAGCAGTTTCTGAGAATGATTCTGACTTGCTTTTATACGAAGATATTTCCTCTTCTGCCTTTGGCCTCAAAGTGCTTGAAATTTCCTATTGCAAATTCCACAAAAAGAGTGTTTCAAGTCTGCTCTGTCTAAAGGAACGTTCAACTCTGTGATTTGAATACACACAACACAGAGAAGTTACTGAGAATTCCTCTGTCTAGCATTATATGAAGAAATCCCTTTTCCAACAAAGGCCTCAAAGAGATCGGAATATCCACTTTCAGACTGTTCAAACAGAGTGTTTCCTAACTGCTCTATGAAAAGAAAGGTAAAACTCTTTGAACTGAACACACACATCACGAAGCAGGTTCTGAGAATCATTCTGTCTAGTTTTTATACGAAGATATTTCCTTTTCTACCATTGACCTCAATGCGTCTGAAATCTCCACTTGCAAATTCCACAAAAAGAGTGGTTCAAATGTGCTCTGTCTAAAGGAAGGGTCAACTCTGTCAGTGGAATACACACAATACAAAGAAGTTACTGAGAATTCTTCTGTCTAGCCTTACATGAATAAAACCCGTTTCCAACGAAGACCTAAAAGAGGTCAAAATATCCACTTGCAGACATTACAAACATAGTGTTTCCAAGCTGCTGTACGAAAAGATAAGTGAAACTCTGTGGGTTGAACGCACACATCACAAAGCAGTTTCTGAGAATGATCTATCTAGTTTTTATACGAAGATATTTCCTTTTCTGCCTTTGGCCTCAAAGCACTTGAAATCTCCACTTGCAAATTCCACAAAAAGAGTGTTTCAAATCTGCTCTGTCTAAAGGAAGGTTCAACTCTGTGAGTTGAACACACACAACACAAACAAGTTACTGAGAAGTCTTCTGTCTAGCATTATATGGAGAAACCCCGTTTCAAAATAAGGCGCCAAAGAGGTCCGAATATCCACTTGCAGACTTTACAAACACACTGTTTCCAAACTGCTCTATGAAAAGAAAGTTTAAACTCCGAGAGTTGAACGCACACATCAGAAAGTAGTTTCTGAGAATGATTCTGTGTACTTTTTATACGAAGATATTTCATTTTCTACCACTGGCCACAAAGCGCTTGAAATCTCCACGAGCAACTTCCACAAAAAGAGTGTTTCAAATCTGCTCTCTCTAAAGGAAGGTTCATCTGTTGTCAGTTGAATACACACAACAGGAAGAAGTTACTGGGAAATCTTCTGTCTAGCATTATATGAAGAAACCCCATTCCCAATGAAGGCCTCAAAGAGTTCCCAATATCCACTTGCAGACTTTACAAACATAGCGTTTCCCAACTGCTCTATGAAAAGGAAGGTTAAACTCTGTTAGGTGAACGCACACATCAAAACGCAGTTTCTGGGAATGATTCTGTCTACTTTTTATTCGAAGATATTTCCTTTTCTACCGTTGGCCTCAAAGCGCTTGAAATCCCCACTTGCAAATTCCCCAAAAAGTGTCTTTCAAATCTGCTCTATCTAAAAGAAGGTTCAACTCTGTGAGCGGAATACACACAACACAAAGAAGTTACTGAGAATTCTTCTGTGTAGCCTTAAATGAAGAAATACCATTTCCAAAGAACGCCTCATGGCGGTCCAAATATCCACATGCAGACTTTTCAAACAGAGTGTTTCCCAACTGCTCTATGAAAAGAAAGGATAAACTCTGTGAGTTAAACATACACATCACTACACAGTTTCTGGGAATGATTTTGTCTAGTTTTTATGTGAAGATTTTTCCTTTTCTACCATTGGCCCCGAAGCGCTTGAAATCTCCAATTGGAAATTCCACAGAAAGTGTGTTTCAAATCTGCTCTATCTAAAAGAAGGTTCAACTCTGTGAGTTGAATACACACAATACAAAGAAGTTACGAAGAATTCCTCTGTCTAGCATTATATGAAGAAATCCCTTTTCCAAAGAAGGCCTCATAGAGGTCCGAATATCCACTTGCAGTCTTTACAAACAGAGTGTTTCCTAAGTGCTCTATGAAAAGAAAGGTAGAACTCTTTGAATTGAACGCATACATCACAAAGCAGTTTCTGAGAATCATTCTGTCAAGTTTTTATACGAAGAAATGTCCTTTTCTACCATTGACCTCAAAGCGTCTGAAATCTCCACTTGCAAATTCCACAAAAAGAGTGTCTCAAATCTGCTCTACCTAAAAGAAGGGTCAACTCTGTCAGTTGAATACACACAACACAAAGAAGTTACTGAGAAATCTTCTGTCTAGCCTTACATGAATAAAACCCGTTTCCAACGAAGGCCTCAAAGATGTCCAAATATCCACGTGCAGACTTTACAAACAGAGTGTTTCCAAACTGCTTTATGAAAAGGTAGGTTAAACTCCGTGAGTCGAACGCACACATGATTAAGCAGTTTCTGAGAATGATTCTGACTTGTTTTTATACGAAGATATTTCCTCTTCTGCCTTTGGCCTCAAAGCGCTTGAAATTTCCTATTGCAAATTCCACAAAAAGAGTGTTTCAAGTCTGCTCTGTCTAAAGGAACGTTCAACTCTGTGATTTGAATACACACAACACAGAGAAGTTACTGAGAATTCCTCTGTCTAGCATTATATGAAGAAATCCCTTTTCCAACGAAGGCCTCAAAGAGATCGGAATATCCACTTTCAGACTGTTCAAACAGAGTGTTTCCTAACTGCTCTATGAAAAGAAAGGTAAAACTCTTTGAACTGAACACACACATCACGAAGCAGGTTCTGAGAATCATTCTGTCTAGTTTTTATACGAAGATATTTCCTTTTCTACCATTGACCTCAATGCGTCTGAAATCTCCACTTGCAAATTCCACAAAAAGAGTGGTTCAAATGTGCTCTGTCTAAAGAAAGGGTCAACTCTGTCAGTGGAATACACACAATACAAAGAAGTTACTGAGAATTCTTCTGTCTAGCCTTACATGAATAAAACCCGTTTCCAATGAAGACCTCAAAGAGGTCAAAATATCCACTTGCAGACATTACAAACAGAGTGTTTCCAAACTGCTGTACGAAAAGATAAGTGAAACTCTGTGAGTTGAACGCACACATCACAAACCAGTTTCTGAGAATGACTATCTAGTTTTTATACGAAGATATTTCCTTTTCTGCCTTTGGCCTCAAAGCGCTTGAAATCTCCACTTGCAAATTCCACAAAAAGAGTGTTTCAAATCTGCTCTGTCTAAAGGAAGGTTCAACTCTGTGAGTTGAACACACACAACACAAACAAGTTATTGAGAATTCTTCTGTCTAGCATTATATGGAGAAACCCCGTTTCAAAATAAGGCGCTAAAGAGGTCCGAATATCCACTTGCAGACTTTACAAACACACTGTTTCCAAACTGCTCTATGAAAAGAAAGTTTAAACTCCGAGAGTTGAACGCACACATCAGAAAGTAGTTTCTGAGAATGATTCTGTGTACTTTTTATACGAAGATATTTCATTTTCTACCACTGGCCACAAAGCGCTTGAAATCTCCACGTGCAACTTCCACAAAAAGAGTGTTTCAAATCTGCTCTATCTAAAGGAACGTTCTATTCTGTGAGTTGATTACACACAACACAAGGAAGTTACTGAGAATTCTTCTTTCTAGCATTATATGAAGAAATCCCGTTTCCAACGAAGGCCTCAAATAGTTCCGAATATCGACTTACAGATTTGACAAACTGTGTGTTTCCAAACGGCTCTATGAAAACAAAGGTTAAACTCTGTGAGTTGAATGCACACATCACAAAGCAGTTTCTGAAAATGATTCTGTCTTGTTTTTATGCGAAGATATTTCCTTTTCTACCATTGACGTTAAAGCGGCTGAAATCTCCACTTGCAACTTCCACAAAAAGAGTGTTTCAAATCTGCTCTCTCTAAAGGAAGGTTCATCTGTTGTCAGTTGAATACACACAACAGGAAGAAGTTACTGGGAAATCTTCTGTCTAGCATTATATGAAGAAACCCCATTCCCAATGAAGGCCTCAAAGAGTTCCCAATATCCACTTGCAGACTTTACAAACATAGCGTTTCCCAACTGCTCTATGAAAAGGAAGGTTAAACTCTGTTACGTGAACGCACACATCAAAACGCAGTTTCTGGGAATGATTCTGTCTACTTTTTATTCGAAGATATTTCCTTTTCTACCGTTGGCCTCAAAGCGCTTGAAATCCCCACTTGCAAATTCCCCAAAAAGTGTCTTTCAAATCTGCTCTATCTAAAAGAAGGTTCAACTCTGTGAGCGGAATACACACAACACAAAGAAGTTACTGAGAATTCTTCTGTGTAGCCTTAAATGAAGAAATACCATTTCCAAAGAACGCCTCATGGCGGTCCAAATATCCACATGCAGACTTTTCAAACAGAGTGTTTCCCAACTGCTCTATGAAAAGAAAGGATAAACTCTGTGAGTTAAACATACACATCACTACACAGTTTCTGGGAATGATTTTGTCTAGTTTTTATGTGAAGATTTTTCCTTTTCTACCATTGGCCCCGAAGCGCTTGAAATCTCCAATTGGAAATTCCACAGAAAGTGTGTTTCAAATCTGCTCTATCTAAAAGAAGGTTCAACTCTGTGAGTTGAATACACACAATACAAAGAAGTTACGAAGAATTCCTCTGTCTAGCATTATATGAAGAAATCCCTTTTCCAAAGAAGGCCTCATAGAGGTCCGAATATCCACTTGCAGTCTTTACAAACAGAGTGTTTCCTAAGTGCTCTATGAAAAGAAAGGTAGAACTCTTTGAATTGAACGCATACATCACAAAGCAGTTTCTGAGAATCATTCTGTCAAGTTTTTATACGAAGAAATGTCCTTTTCTACCATTGACCTCAAAGCGTCTGAAATCTCCACTTGCAAATTCCACAAAAAGAGTGTCTCAAATCTGCTCTACCTAAAAGAAGGGTCAACTCTGTCAGTTGAATACACACAACAGAAAGAAGTTACTGAGAAATCTTCTGTCTAGCCTTACATGAATAAAACCCGTTTCCAACGAAGGCCTCAAAGATGTCCAAATATCCACGTGCAGACTTTACAAACAGAGTGTTTCCAAACTGCTGTATGAAAAGGTAGGTTAAACTCCGTGAGTCGAACGCACACATGATTAAGCAGTTTCTGAGAATGATTCTGACTTGTTTTTATACGAAGATATTTCCTCTTCTGCCTTTGGCCTCAAAGCGCTTGAAATTTCCTATTGCAAATTCCACAAAAAGAGTGTTTCAAGTCTGCTCTGTCTAAAGGAACGTTCAACTCTGTGATTTGAATACACACAACACAGAGAAGTTACTGAGAATTCCTCTGTCTAGCATTATATGAAGAAATCCCTTTTCCAACGAAGGCCTCAAAGAGATCGGAATATCCACTTTCAGACTGTTCAAACAGAGTGTTTCCTAACTGCTCTATGAAAAGAAAGGTAAAACTCTTTGAACTGAACACACACATCACGAAGCAGGTTCTGAGAATCATTCTGTCTAGTTTTTATACGAAGATATTTCCTTTTCTACCATTGACCTCAATGCGTCTGAAATCTCCACTTACAAATTCCACAAAAAGAGTGGTTCAAATGTGCTCTGTCTAAAGGAAGGGTCAACTCTGTCAGTGGAATACACACAATACAAAGAAGTTACTGAGAATTCTTCTGTCTAGCCTTACATGAATAAAACCCGTTTCCAACGAAGACCTCAAAGAGGTCAAAATATACACTTGCAGACATTACAAACAGAGTGTTTCCAAACTGCTGTACGAAAAGATAAGTGAAACTCTGTGAGTTGAACGCACACATCACAAAGCAGTTTCTGAGAATGACTATCTAGTTTCTATACGAAGATATTTCCTTTTCTGCCTTTGGCCTCAAAGCGCTTGAAATCTCCACTTGCAAATTCCACAAAAAGAGTGTTTCAAATCTGCTCTGTCTAAAGGAAGGTTCAACTCTGTGAGTTGAACACACACAACACAAACAAGTTACTGAGAATTCTTCTGTCTAGCATTATATGGAGAAACCCCGTTTCAAAATAAGGCGCCAAAGAGGTCGAATATCCACTTGCAGACTTTACAAACACACTGTTTCCAAACTGCTCTATGAAAAGAAAGTTTAAACTCCGAGAGTTGAACGCACACATCAGAAAGTAGTTTCTGAGAATGATTCTGTGTACTTTTTATACGAAGATATTTCATTTTCTACCACTGGCCACAAAGCGCTTGAAATCTCCACGTGCAACTTCCACAAAAAGAGTGTTTCAAATCTGCTCTATCTAAAGGAACGTTCTATTCTGTGAGTTGATTACACAGAACACAAGGAAGTTACTGAGAATTCTTCTTTCTAGCATTATATGAAGAAATCCCGTTTCCAACGAAGGCCTCAAATAGGTCCGAATATCGACTTACAGATTTGACAAACTGTGTGTTTCCAAACGGCTCTAGGAAAACAAAGGTTAAACTCTGTGAGTTGAATGCACACATCACAAAGCAGTTTCTGAAAATGATTCTGTCTTGTTTTTCTGCGAAGATATTTCCTTTTCTACCATTGACGTTAAAGCGGCTGAAATCTCCACTTGCAAATTCCACAAAAAGAGTGTTTCAAATCTGCTCTCTCTAAAGGAAGGTTCATCTGTTGTCAGTTGAATACACACAACAGGAAGAAGTTACTGGGAAATCTTCTGTCTAGCATTATATGAAGAAACCCCATTCCCAATGAAGGCCTCAAAGAGTTCCCAATATCCACTTGCAGACTTTACAAACATAGCGTTTCCCAACTGCTCTATGAAAAGGAAGGTTAAACTCTGTTAGGTGAACGCACACATCAAAACGCAGTTTCTGGGAATGATTCTGTCTACTTTTTATTCGAAGATATTTCCTTTTCTACCGTTGGCCTCAAAGCGCTTGAAATCCCCACTTGCAAATTCCCCAAAAAGTGTCTTTCAAATCTGCTCTATCTAAAAGAAGGTTCAACTCTGTGAGCTGAATACACACAACACAAGGAAGTTACTGAGAATTCTTCTGTGTAGCCTTAAATGAAGAAATACCATTTCCAAAGAACGCCTCATGGCGGTCCAAATATCCACATGCAGACTTTTCAAACAGAGTGTTTCCCAACTGCTCTATGAAAAGAAAGGATAAACTCTGTGAGTTAAACATACACATCACTACACAGTTTGCTGGGAATGAGTTTTGTCTAGTTTATTTGTGAAGATTTTTCCTTTTCTACCATTGGCCCCGAAGCGCTTGAAATCTCCAATTGGAAATTCCACAGAAAGTGTGTTTCAAATCTGCTCTATCTAAAAGAAGGTTCAACTCTGTGAGTTGAATACACACAATACAAAGAAGTTACGAAGAATTCCTCTGTCTAGCATTATATGAAGAAATCCCTTTTCCAAAGAAGGCCTCATAGAGGTCCGAATATCCACTTGCAGTCTTTACAAACAGAGTGTTTCCTAAGTGCTCTATGAAAAGAAAGGTAGAACTCTTTGAATTGAACGCATACATCACAAAGCAGTTTCTGAGAATCATTCTGTCAAGTTTTTATACGAAGAAATGTCCTTTTCTACCATTGACCTCAAAGCGTCTGAAATCTCCACTTGCAAATTCCACAAAAAGAGTGTGTCAAATCTGCTCTACCTAAAAGAAGGGTCAACTCTGTCAGTTGAATACACACAACACAAAGAAGTTACTGAGAAATCTTCTGTCTAGCCTTACATGAATAAAACCCGTTTCCAACGAAGGCCTCAAAGATGTCCAAATATCCACGTGCAGACTTTACAAACAGAGTGTTTCCAAACTGCTGTATGAAAAGGTAGGTTAAACTCCGTGAGTTGAACGCACACATGATTAAGCAGTTTCTGAGAATGATTCTGACTTGTTTTTATACGAAGATATTTCCTCTTCTGCCTTTGGCCTCAAAGCGCTTGAAATTTCCTATTGCAAATTCCACAAAAAGAGTGTTTCAAGTCTGCTCTGTCTAAAGGAACGTTCAACTCTGTGATTTGAATACACACAACACAGAGAAGTTACTGAGAATTCCTCTGTCTAGCATTATATGAAGAAATCCCTTTTCCAACAAAGGCCTCAAAGAGATCGGAATATCCACTTTCAGACTGTTCAAACAGAGTGTTTCCTAACTGCTCTATGAAAAGAAAGGTAAAACTCTTTGAACTGAACACACACATCACGAAGCAGGTTACTGAGAATCATTTCTGTCTAGTTTTTATACGAAGATATTTCCTTTTGTACCATTGACTTCAATGCGTCTGAAATCTCCACTTGCAAATTCCACAAAAAGAGTGGTTCAAATGTGCTCTGTCTAAAGGAAGGGTCAACTCTGTCAGTGGAATACACACAATACAAAGAAGTTACTGAGAATTCTTCTGTCTAGCCTTACATGAATAAAACCCGTTTCCAACGAAGACCTCAAAGAGGTCAAAATATCCACTTGCAGACATTACAAACAGAGTGTTTCCAAACTGCTGTACGAAAAGATAAGTGAAACTCTGTGAGTTGAACGCACACATCACAAA
The DNA here is from genome assembly GCF_000001405.40 of Homo sapiens. Taxonomy (NCBI): domain Eukaryota; kingdom Metazoa; phylum Chordata; class Mammalia; order Primates; family Hominidae; genus Homo; species Homo sapiens. The sequence continues at coordinate 47,188,481 of NC_000005.10, read as the reverse complement.
GCAGTTTCTGAGAATGATCTATGTAGTTTTTATACGAAGATATTTCCTTTTCTGCCTTTGGCCTCAAAGCGCTTGAAATCTCCACTTGCAAATTCCACAAAAAGAGTGTTTCAAATCTGCTCTGTCTAAAGGAAGGTTCAACTCTGTGAGTTGAACACACACAACACAAACAAGTTACTGAGAATTCTTCTGTCTAGCATTATAGGGAGAAACCCCGTTTCAAAATAAGGCGCCAAAGAGGTCCGAATATCCACTTGCAGACTTTACAAACACACTGTTTCCAAACTGCTCTATGAAAAGAAAGTTTAACCTCCGAGAGTTGAACGCACACATCAGAAAGTAGTTTCTGAGAATGATTCTGTGTACTTTTTATACGAAGATATTTCATTTTCTACCACTGGCCACAAAGCGCTTGAAATCTCCACGTGCAACTTCCACAAAAAGAGTGTTTCAAATCTGCTCTATCTAAAGGAACGTTCTATTCTGTGAGTTGATTACACACAACACAAGGAAGTTACTGAGAATTCTTCTTTCTAGCATTATATGAAGAAATCCCGTTTCCAACGAAGGCCTCAAATAGTTCCGAATATCGACTTACAGATTTGACAAACTGTGTGTTTCCAAACGGCTCTATGAAAACAAAGGTTAAACTCTGTGAGTTGAATGCACACATCACAAAGCAGTTTCTGAAAATGATTCTGTCTTGTTTTTATGCGAAGATATTTCCTTTTCTACCATTGACGTTAAAGCGGCTGAAATCTCCACTTGCAACTTCCACAAAAAGAGTGTTTCAAATCTGCTCTCTCTAAAGGAAGGTTCATCTGTTGTCAGTTGAATACACACAACAGGAAGAAGTTACTGGGAAATCTTCTGTCTAGCATTATATGAAGAAACCCCATTCCCAATGAAGGCCTCAAAGAGTTCCCAATATCCACTTGCAGACTTTACAAACATAGCGTTTCCCAACTGCTCTATGAAAAGGAAGGTTAAACTCTGTTAGGTGAACGCACACATCAAAACGCAGTTTCTGGGAATGATTCTGTCTACTTTTTATTCGAAGATATTTCCTTTTCTACCGTTGGCCTCAAAGCGCTTGAAATCCCCACTTGCAAATTCCCCAAAAAGTGTCTTTCAAATCTGCTCTATCTAAAAGAAGGTTCAACTCTGTGAGCTGAATACACACAACACAAGGAAGTTACTGAGAATTCTTCTGTGTAGCCTTAAATGAAGAAATACCATTTCCAAAGAACGCCTCATGGCGGTCCAAATATCCACATGCAGACTTTTCAAACAGAGTGTTTCCCAACTGCTCTATGAAAAGAAAGGATAAACTCTGTGAGTTAAACATACACATCACTACACAGTTTCTGGGAATGATTTTGTCTAGTTTATTTGTGAAGATTTTTCCTTTTCTACCATTGGCCCCGAAGCGCTTGAAATCTCCAATTGGAAATTCCACAGAAAGTGTGTTTCAAATCTGCTCTATCTAAAAGAAGGTTCAACTCTGTGAGTTGAATACACACAATACAAAGAAGTTACGAAGAATTCCTCTGTCTAGCATTATATGAAGAAATCCCTTTTCCAAAGAAGGCCTCATAGAGGTCCGAATATCCACTTGCAGTCTTTACAAACAGAGTGTTTCCTAAGTGCTCTATGAAAAGAAAGGTAGAACTCTTTGACTTGAACGCATACATCACAAAGCAGTTTCTGAGAATCATTCTGTCAAGTTTTTATACGAAGAAATGTCCTTTTCTACCATTGACCTCAAAGCGTCTGAAATCTCCACTTGCAAATTCCACAAAAAGAGTGTCTCAAATCTGCTCTACCTAAAAGAAGGGTCAACTCTGTCAGTTGAATACACACAACACAAAGAAGTTACTGAGAAATCTTCTGTCTAGCCTTACATGAATAAAACCCGTTTCCAACGAAGGCCTCAAAGATGTCCAAATATCCACGTGCAGACTTTACAAACAGAGTGTTTCCAAACTGCTGTATGAAAAGGTAGGTTAAACTCCGTGAGTCGAACGCACACATGATTAAGCAGTTTCTGAGAATGATTCTGACTTGTTTTTATACGAAGATATTTCCTCTTCTGCCTTTGGCCTCAAAGCGCTTGAAATTTCCTATTGCAAATTCCACAAAAAGAGTGTTTCAAGTCTGCTCTGTCTAAAGGAACGTTCAACTCTGTGATTTGAATACACACAACACAGAGAAGTTACTGAGAATTCCTCTGTCTAGCATTATATGAAGAAATCCCTTTTCCAACAAAGGCCTCAAAGAGATCGGAATATCCACTTTCAGACTGTTCAAACAGAGTGTTCCCTAACAGCTCTATGAAAAGTAAGGTAAAACTCTTTGAACTGAACACACACATCACGAAGCAGGTTCTGAGAATCATTCTGTCTAGTTTTTATACGAAGATATTTCCTTTTCTACCATTGACCTCAATGCGTCTGAAATCTCCACTTGCAAATTCCACAAAAAGAGTGGTTCAAATGTGCTCTGTCTAAAGGAAGGGTCAACTCTGTCAGTGGAATACACACAATACAAAGAAGTTACTGAGAATTCTTCTGTCTAGCCTTACATGAATAAAACCCGTTTCCAACGAAGACCTAAAAGAGGTCAAAATATCCACTTGCAGACATTACAAACAGAGTGTTTCCAAGTTGCTGTACGAAAAGATAAGTGAAACTCTGTGAGTTGAACGCACACATCACAAAGCAGTTTCTGAGAATGATCTATCTAGTTTTTATACGAAGATATTTCCTTTTCTGCCTTTGGCCTCAAAGCGCTTGAAATCTCCACTTGCAAATTCCACAAAAAGAGTGTTTCAAATCTGCTCTGTCTAAAGGAAGGTTCAACTCTGTGAGTTGAACACACACAACACAAACAAGTTACTGAGAATTCTTCTGTCTAGCATTATATGGAGAAACCCCGTTTCAAAATAAGGCGCCAAAGAGGTCCGAATATCCACTTGCAGACTTTACAAACACACTGTTTCCAAACTGCTCTATGAAAAGAAAGTTTAACCTCCGAGAGTTGAACGCACACATCAGAAAGTAGTTTCTGAGAATGATTCTGTGTACTTTTTATACGAAGATATTTCATTTTCTACCACTGACCACAAAGCGCTTGAAATCTCCACGTGCAACTTCCACAAAAAGAGTGTTTCAAATCTGCTCTATCTAAAGGAACGTTCTATTCTGTGAGTTGATTACACACAACACAAGGAAGTTACTGAGAATTCTTCTTTCTAGCATTATATGAAGAAATCCCGTTTCCAACGAAGGCCTCAAATAGGTCCGAATATCGACTTACAGATTTGACAAACTGTGTGTTTCCAAACGGCTCTATGAAAACAAAGGTTAAACTCTGTGAGTTGAATGCACACATCACAAAGCAGTTTCTGAAAATGATTCTGTCTTGCTTTTATGCGAAGATATTTCCTTTTCTACCATTGACGTTAAAGCGGCTGAAATCTCCACTTGCAAATTCCACAAAAAGAGTGTTTCAAATCTGCTCTCTCTAAAGGAAGGTTCATCTGTTGTCAGTTGAATACACACAACAGGAAGAAGTTACTGGGAAATCTTCTGTCTAGCATTATATGAAGAAACCCCATTCCCAATGAAGGCCTCAAAGAGTTCCCAATATCCACTTGCAGACTTTACAAACATAGCGTTTCCCAACTGCTCTATGAAAAGGAAGGTTAAACTCTGTTAGGTGAACGCACACATCAAAACGCAGTTTCTGGGAATGATTCTGTCTACTTTTTATTCGAAGATATTTCCTTTTCTACCGTTGGCCTCAAAGCGCTTGAAATCCCCACTTGCAAATTCCCCAAAAAGTGTCTTTCAAATCTGCTCTATCTAAAAGAAGGTTCAACTCTGTGAGCTGAATACACACAACACGAGGAAGTTACTGAGAATTCTTCTGTGTAGCCTTAAATGAAGAAATACCATTTCCAAAGAACGCCTCATGGCGGTCCAAATATCCACATGCAGACTTTTCAAACAGAGTGTTTCCCAACTGCTCTATGAAAAGAAAGGATAAACTCTGTGAGTTAAACATACACATCACTACACAGTTTCTGGGAATGATTTTGTCTAGTTTTTATGTGAAGATTTTTCCTTTTCTACCATTGGCCCTGAAGCGCTTGAAATCTCCAATTGGAAATTCCACAGAAAGTGTGTTTCAAATCTGCTCTATCTAAAAGAAGGTTCAACTCTGTGAGTTGAATACACACAATACAAAGAAGTTACGAAGAATTCCTCTGTCTAGCATTATATGAAGAAATCCCTTTTCCAAAGAAGGCCTCATAGAGGTCCGAATATCCACTTGCAGTCTTTACAAACAGAGTGTTTCCTAAGTGCTCTATGAAAAGAAAGGTAGAACTCTTTGAATTGAACGCATACATCACAAAGCAGTTTCTGAGAATCATTCTGTCAAGTTTTTATACGAACAAATGTCCTTTTCTACCATTGACCTCAAAGCGTCTGAAATCTCCACTTGCAAATTCCACAAAAAGAGTGTCTCAAATCTGCTCTACCTAAAAGAAGGGTCAACTCTGTCAGTTGAATACACACAACACAAAGAAGTTACTGAGAAATCTACTGTCTAGCCTTACATGAATAAAACCCGTTTCCAACGAAGGCCTCAAAGATGTCCAAATATCCACGTGCAGACTTTACAAACAGAGTGTTTCCAAACTGCTGTATGAAAAGGTAGGTTAAACTCCGTGAGTTGAACGCACACATGATTAAGCAGTTTCTGAGAATGATTCTGACTTGTTTTTATACGAAGATATTTCCTCTTCTGCCTTTGGCCTCAAAGCGCTTGAAATTTCCTATTGCAAATTCCACAAAAAGAGTGTTTCAAGTCTGCTCTGTCTAAAGGAACGTTCAACTCTGTGATTTGAATACACACAACACAGAGAAGTTACTGAGAATTCCTCTGTCTAGCATTATATGAAGAAATCCCTTTTCCAACAAAGGCCTCAAAGAGATCGGAATATCCACTTTCAGACTGTTCAAACAGAGTGTTTCCTAACTGCTCTATGAAAAGAAAGGTAAAACTCTTTGAACTGAACACACACATCACGAAGCAGGTTCTGAGAATCATTCTGTCTAGTTTTTATACGAAGATATTTCCTTTTCTACCATTGACCTCAATGCGTCTGAAATCTCCACTTGCAAATTCCACAAAAAGAGTGGTTCAAATGTGCTCTGTCTAAAGGAAGGGTCAACTCTGTCAGTGGAATACACACAATACAAAGAAGTTACTGAGAATTCTTCTGTCTAGCCTTACATGAATAAAACCCGTTTCCAACGAAGACCTCAAAGAGGTCAAAATATCCACTTGCAGACATTACAAACAGAGTGTTTCCAAACTGCTGTACGAAAAGATAAGTGAAACTCTGTGAGTTGAACGCACACATCACAAAGCAGTTTCTGAGAATGATCTATCTAGTTTTTATACGAAGATATTTCCTTTTCTGCCTTTGGCCTCAAAGCGCTTGAAATCTCCACTTGCAAATTCCACAAAAAGAGTGTTTCAAATCTGCTCTGTCTAAAGGAAGGTTCAACTCTGTGAGTTGAACACACACAACACAAACAAGTTACTGAGAAGTCTTCTGTCTAGCATTATATGGAGAAACCCCGTTTCAAAATAAGGCGCCAAAGAGGTCCGAATATCCACTTGCAGACTTTACAAACACACTGTTTCCAAACTGCTCTATGAAAAGAAAGTTTAAACTCCGAGAGTTGAACGCACACATCAGAAAGTAGTTTCTGAGAATGATTCTGTGTACTTTTTATACGAAGATATTTCATTTTCTACCACTGGCCACAAAGCGCTTGAAATCTCCACGTGCAACTTCCACAAAAAGAGTGTTTCAAATCTGCTCTATCTAAAGGAACGTTCTATTCTGTGAGTTGATTACACAGAACACAAGGAAGTTACTGAGAATTCTTCTTTCTAGCATTATATGAAGAAATCCCGTTTCCAACGAAGGCCTCAAATAGGTCCGAATATCGACTTACAGATTTGACAAACTGTGTGTTTCCAAACGGCTCTAGGAAAACAAAGGTTAAACTCTGTGAGTTGAATGCACACATCACAAAGCAGTTTCTGAAAATGATTCTGTCTTGTTTTTATGCGAAGATATTTCCTTTTCTACCATTGACGTTAAAGCGGCTGAAATCTCCACTTGCAAATTCCACAAAAAGAGTGTTTCAAACCTGCTCTCTCTAAAGGAAGGTTCATCTGTTGTCAGTTGAATACACACAACAGGAAGAAGTTACTGGGAAATCTTCTGTCTAGCATTATATGAAGAAACCCCATTCCCAATGAAGGCCTCAAAGAGTTCCCAATATCCACTTGCAGACTTTACAAACATAGCGTTTCCCAACTGCTCTATGAAAAGGAAGGTTAAACTCTGTTAGGTGAACGCACACATCAAAACGCAGTTTCTGGGAATGATTCTGTCTACTTTTTATTCGAAGATATTTCCTTTTCTACCGTTGGCCTCAAAGCGCTTGAAATCCCCACTTGCAAATTCCCCAAAAAGTGTCTTTCAAATCTGCTCTATCTAAAAGAAGGTTCAACTCTGTGAGCTGAATACACACAACACAAGGAAGTTACTGAGAATTCTTCTGTGTAGCCTTAAATGAAGAAATACCATTTCCAAAGAACGCCTCATGGCGGTCCAAATATCCACATGCAGACTTTTCAAACAGAGTGTTTCCCAACTGCTCTATGAAAAGAAAGGATAAACTCTGTGAGTTAAACATACACATCACTACACAGTTTCTGGGAATGATTTTGTCTAGTTTTTATGTGAAGATTTTTCCTTTTCTACCATTGGCCCTGAAGCGCTTGAAATCTCCAATTGGAAATTCCACAGAAAGTGTGTTTCAAATCTGCTCTATCTAAAAGAAGGTTCAACTCTGTGAGTTGAATACACACAATACAAAGAAGTTACGAAGAATTCCTCTGTCTAGCATTATATGAAGAAATCCCTTTTCCAAAGAAGGCCTCATAGAGGTCCGAATATCCACTTGCAGTCTTTACAAACAGAGTGTTTCCTAAGTGCTCTATGAAAAGAAAGGTAGAACTCTTTGAATTGAACGCATACATCACAAAGCAGTTTTCTGAGAATCATTCTGTCAAGTTTTTATACGAAGAAATGTCCTTTTCTACCATTGACCTCAAAGCGTCTGAAATCTCCACTTGCAAATTCCACAAAAAGAGTGTCTCAAATCTGCTCTACCTAAAAGAAGGGTCAACTCTGTCAGTTGAATACACACAACACAAAGAAGTTACTGAGAAATCTTCTGTCTAGCCTTACATGAATAAAACCCGTTTCCAACGAAGGCCTCAAAGATGTCCAAATATCCACGTGCAGACTTTACAAACAGAGTGTTTCCAAACTGCTGTATGAAAAGGTAGGTTAAACTCCGTGAGTCGAACGCACACATGATTAAGCAGTTTCTGAGAATGATTCTGACTTGTTTTTATACGAAGATATTTCCTCTTCTGCCTTTGGCCTCAAAGCGCTTGAAATTTCCTATTGCAAATTCCACAAAAAGAGTGTTTCAAGTCTGCTCTGTCTAAAGGAACGTTCAACTCTGTGATTTGAATACACACAACACAGAGAAGTTACTGAGAATTCCTCTGTCTAGCATTATATGAAGAAATCCCTTTTCCAACAAAGGCCTCAAAGAGATCGGAATATCCACTTTCAGACTGTTCAAACAGAGTGTTTCCTAACTGCTCTATGAAAAGAAAGGTAAAACTCTTTGAACTGAACACACACATCACGAAGCAGGTTCTGAGAATCATTCTGTCTAGTTTTTATACGAAGATATTTCCTTTTCTACCATTGACCTCAATGCGTCTGAAATCTCCACTTGCAAATTCCACAAAAAGAGTGGTTCAAATGTGCTCTGTCTAAAGGAAGGGTCAACTCTGTCAGTGGAATACACACAATACAAAGAAGTTACTGAGAATTCTTCTGTCTAGCCTTACATGAATAAAACCCGTTTCCAACGAAGACCTAAAAGAGGTCAAAATATCCACTTGCAGACATTACAAACAGAGTGTTTCCAAGCTGCTGTACGAAAAGATAAGTGAAACTCTGTGAGTTGAACGCACAAATCACAAAGCAGTTTCTGAGAATGATCTATCTAGTTTTTATACGAAGATATTTCCTTTTCTGCCTTTGGCCTCAAAGCGCTTGAAATCTCCACTTGCAAATTCCACAAAAAGAGTGTTTCAAATCTGCTCTGTCTAAAGGAAGGTTCAACTCTGTGAGTTGAACACACACAACACAAACAAGTTACTGAGAATTCTTCTGTCTAGCATTATATGGAGAAACCCCGTTTCAAAATAAGGCGCCAAAGAGGTCCGAATATCCACTTGCAGACTTTACAAACACACTGTTTCCAAACTGCTCTATGAAAAGAAAGTTTAAACTCCGAGAGTTGAACGCACACATCAGAAAGTAGTTTCTGAGAATGATTCTGTGTACTTTTTATACGAAGATATTTCATTTTCTACCACTGGCCACAAAGCGCTTGAAATCTCCACGTGCAAATTCCACAAAAAGAGTTTTTCAAATCTTCTCTCTCTAAAGGAAGGTTCATCTGTTGTCAGTTGAATACACACAACAGGAAGAAGTTACTGGGAAATCTTCTGTCTAGCATTATATGAAGAAACCCCATTCCCAATGAAGGCCTCAAAGAGTTCGCAATATCCACTTGCAGACTTTACAAACATAGCGTTTCCCAACTGCTCTATGAAAAGGAAGGTTAAACTCTGTTAGGTGAACGCACACATCAAAACGCAGTTTCTGGGAATGATTCTGTCTACTTTTTATTCGAAGATATTTCCTTTTCTACCGTTGGCCTCAAAGCGCTTGAAATCCCCACTTGCAAATTCCCCAAAAAGTGTCTTTCAAATCTGCTCTATCTAAAAGAAGGTTCAACTCTGTGAGCTGAATACACACAACACAAGGAAGTTACTGAGACTTCTTCTGTGTAGCCTTAAATGAAGAAATACCATTTCCAAAGAACGCCTCATGGCGGTCCAAATATCCACATGCAGACTTTTCAAACAGAGTGTTTCCCAACTGCTCTATGAAAAGAAAGGATAAACTCTGTGAGTTAAACATACACATCACTACACAGTTTCTGGGAATGATTTTGTCTAGTTTATTTGTGAAGATTTTTCCTTTTCTACCATTGGCCCCGAAGCGCTTGAAATCTCCAATTGGAAATTCCACAGAAAGTGTGTTTCAAATCTGCTCTATCTAAAAGAAGGTTCAACTCTGTGAGTTGAATACACACAATACAAAGAAGTTACGAAGAATTCCTCTGTCTAGCATTATATGAAGAAATCCCTTTTCCAAAGAAGGCCTCATAGAGGTCCGAATATCCACTTGCAGTCTTTACAAACAGAGTGTTTCCTAAGTGCTCTATGAAAAGAAAGGTAGAACTATTTGAATTGAACGCATACATCACAAAGCAGTTTCTGAGAATCATTCTGTCAAGTTTTTATACGAAGAAATGTCCTTTTCTACCATTGACCTCAAAGCGTCTGAAATCTCCACTTGCAAATTCCACAAAAAGAGTGTCTCAAATCTGCTCTACCTAAAAGAAGGGTCAACTCTGTCAGTTGAATACACACAACACAAAGAAGTTACTGAGAAATCTTCTGTCTAGCCTTACATGAATAAAACCCGTTTCCAACGAAGGCCTCAAAGATGTCCAAATATCCACGTGCAGACTTTACAAACAGAGTGTTTCCAAACTGCTGTATGAAAAGGTAGGTTAAACTCCGTGAGTCGAACGCACACATGATTAAGCAGTTTCTGAGAATGATTCTGACTTGTTTTTATACGAAGATATTTCCTCTTCTGCCTTTGGCCTCAAAGCGCTTGAAATTTCCTATTGCAAATTCCACAAAAAGAGTGTTTCAAGTCTGCTCTGTCTAAAGGAACGTTCAACTCTGTGATTTGAATACACACAACACAGAGAAGTTACTGAGAATTCCTCTGTCTAGCATTATATGAAGAAATCCCTTTTCCAACAAAGGCCTCAAAGAGGTCTGAATATCCACTTGCAGAGTTTACAAACAGAGTGTTTCCTAACTGCTCTATGAAAAGAAAGGTAAAACTCTTTGAACTGAACACACACATCACGAAGCAGGTTCTGAGAATCATTCTGTCTAGTTTTTATACGAAGATATTTCCTTTTCTACCATTGACCTCAATGCGTCTGAAATCTCCACTTGCAAATTCCACAAAAAGAGTGGTTCAAATGTGCTCTGTCTAAAGGAAGGGTCAACTCTGTCAGTGGAATACACACAATACAAAGAAGTTACTGAGAATTCTTCTGTCTAGCCTTACATGAATAAAACCCGTTTCCAACGAAGACCTAAAAGAGGTCAAAATATCCACTTGCAGACATTACAAACAGAGTGTTTCCAAGCTGCTGTACGAAAAGATAAGTGAAACTCTGTGAGTTGAACGCACAAATCACAAAGCAGTTTCTGAGAATGATCTATCTAGTTTTTATACGAAGATATTTCCTTTTCTGCCTTTGGCCTCAAAGCGCTTGAAATCTCCACTTGCAAATTCCACAAAAAGAGTGTTTCAAATCTGCTCTGTCTAAAGGAAGGTTCAACTCTGTGAGTTGAACACACACAACACAAACAAGTTACTGAGAATTCTTCTGTCTAGCATTATATGGAGAAACCCCGTTTCAAAATAAGGCGCCAAAGAGGTCCGAATATCCACTTGCAGACTTTACAAACACACTGTTTCCAAACTGCTCTATGAAAAGAAAGTTTAAACTCCGAGAGTTGAACGCACACATCAGAAAGTAGTTTCTGAGAATGATTCTGTGTACTTTTTATACGAAGATATTTCATTTTCTACCACTGGTCACAAAGCGCTTGAAATCTCCACGTGCAACTTCCACAAAAAGAGTGTTTCAAATCTGCTCTATCTAAAGGAACGTTCTATTCTGTGAGTTGATTACACACAACACAAGGAAGTTACTGAGAATTCTTCTTTCTAGCATTATATGAAGAAATCCCGTTTCCAACGAAGGCCTCAAATAGGTCCGAATATCGACTTACAGATTTGACAAACTGTGTGTTTCCAAACGGCTCTATGAAAACAAAGGTTAAACTCTGTGAGTTGAATGCACACATCACAAAGCAGTTTCTGAAAATGATTCTGTCTTGTTTTTATGCGAAGATATTTCCTTTTCTACCATTGACGTTAAAGCGGCTGAAATCTCCACTTGCAACTTCCACAAAAAGAGTGTTTCAAATCTGCTCTCTCTAAAGGAAGGTTCATCTGTTGTCAGTTGAATACACACAACAGGAAGAAGTTACTGGGAAATCTTCTGTCTAGCATTATATGAAGAAACCCCATTCCCAATGAAGGCCTCAAAGAGTTCCCAATATCCACTTGCAGACTTTACAAACATAGCGTTTCCCAACTGCTCTATGAAAAGGAAGGTTAAACTCTGTTAGGTGAACGCACACATCAAAACGCAGTTTCTGGGAATGATTCTGTCTACTTTTTATTCGAAGATATTTCCTTTTCTACCGTTGGCCTCAAAGCGCTTGAAATCCCCACTTGCAAATTCCCCAAAAAGTGTCTTTCAAATCTGCTCTATCTAAAAGAAGGTTCAACTCTGTGAGCTGAATACACACAACACAAGGAAAGTTACTGAGAATTCTTCTGTGTAGCCTTAAATGAAGAAATACCATTTCCAAAGAACGCCTCATGGCGGTCCAAATATCCACATGCAGACTTTTCAAACAGAGTGTTTCCCAACTGCTCTATGAAAAGAAAGGATAAACTCTGTGAGTTAAACATACACATCACTACACAGTTTCTGGGAATGAGTTTGTCTAGTTTTTATGTGAAGATTTTACCTTTTCTACCATTGGCCCCGAAGCACTTGAAATCTCCAATTGGAAATTCCACAGAAAGTGTGTTTCAAATCTGCTCTATCTAAAAGAAGGTTCAACTCTGTGAGTTGAATACACACAATACAAAGAAGTTACGAAGAATTCCTCTGTCTAGCATTATATGAAGAAATCCCTTTTCCAAAGAAGGCCTCATAGAGGTCCGAATATCCACTTGCAGTCTTTACAAACAGAGTGTTTCCTAAGTGCTCTATGAAAAGAAAGGTAGAACTCTTTGAATTGAACGCATACATCACAAAGCAGTTTCTGAGAATCATTCTGTCAAGTTTTTATATGAAGAAATGTCCTTTTCTACCATTGACCTCAAAGCGTCTGAAATCTCCACTTGCAAATTCCACAAAAAGAGTGTTTCAAATCTGCTCTACCTAAAAGAAGGGTCAACTCTGTCAGTTGAATACACACAACACAAAGAAGTTACTGAGAAATCTTCTGTCTAGCCTTACATGAATAAAACCCGTTTCCAACGAAGGCCTCAAAGATGTCCAAATATCCACGTGCAGACTTTACAAACAGAGTGTTTCCAAACTGCTGTATGAAAAGGTAGGTTAAACTCCGTGAGTCGAACGCACACATGATTAAGCAGTTTCTGAGAATGATTCTGACTTGTTTTTATACGAAGATATTTCCTCTTCTGCCTTTGGCCTCAAAGCGCTTGAAATTTCCTATTGCAAATTCCACAAAAAGAGTGTTTCAAGTCTGCTCTGTCTAAAGGAACGTTCAACTCTGTGATTTGAATACACACAACACAGAGAAGTTACTGAGAATTCCTCTGTCTAGCATTATATGAAGAAATCCCTTTTCCAACGAAGGCCTCAAAGAGATCGGAATATCCACTTTCAGACTGTTCAAACAGAGTGTTTCCTAACTGCTCTATGAAAAGAAAGGTAAAACTCTTTGAACTGAACACACACATCACGAAGCAGGTTCTGAGAATCATTCTGTCTAGTTTTTATACGAAGATATTTCCTTTTCTACCATTGACCTCAATGCCTCTGAAATCTCCACTTGCAAATTCCACAAAAAGAGTAGTTCAAATGTGCTCTGTCTAAAGGAAGGGTCAACTCTGTCAGTGGAATACACACAATACAAAGAAGTTACTGAGAATTCTTCTGTCTAGCCTTACATGAATAAAACCCGTTTCCAACGAAGACCTCAAAGAGGTCAAAATATCCACTTGCAGACATTACAAACAGAGTGTTTCCAAACTGCTGTACGAAAAGATAAGTGAAACTCTGTGAGTTGAACGCACACATCACAAAGCAGTTTCTGAGAATGATCTATCTAGTTTTTATACGAAGATATTTCCTTTTCTGCCTTTGGCCTCAAAGCGCTTGAAATCTCCACTTGCAAATTCCACAAAAAGAGTGTTTCAAATCTGCTCTGTCTAAAGGAAGGTTCAACTCTGTGAGTTGAACACACACAACACAAACAAGTTACTGAGAATTCTTCTGTCTAGCATTATAGGGAGAAACCCCGTTTCAAATTAAGGCGCCAAAGAGGTCCGAATATCCACTTGCAGACTTTACAAACACACTGTTTCCAAACTGCTCTATGAAAAGAAAGTTTAACCTCCGAGAGTTGAACGCACACATCAGAAAGTAGTTTCTGAGAATGATTCTGTGTACTTTTTATACGAAGATATTTCATTTTCTACCACTGGCCACAAAGCGCTTGAAATCTCCACGTGCAACTTCCACAAAAAGAGTGTTTCAAATCTGCTCTATCTAAAGGAACGTTCTATTCTGTGAGTTGATTACACACAACACAAGGAAGTTACTGAGAATTCTTCTTTCTAGCATTATATGAAGAAATCCCGTTTCCAACGAAGGCCTCAAATAGGTCCGAATATCGACTTACAGATTTGACAAACTGTGTGTTTCCAAACGGCTCTATGAAAACAAAGGTTAAACTCTGTGAGTTGAATGCACACATCACAAAGCAGTTTCTGAAAATGATTCTGTCTTGTTTTTATGCGAAGATATTTCCTTTTCTACCATTGACGTTAAAGCGGCTGAAATCTCCACTTGCAAATTCCACAAAAAAAGTGTTTCAAATCTGCTCTCTCTAAAGGAAGGTTCATCTGTTGTCAGTTGAATACACACAACAGGAAGAAGTTACTGGGAAATCTTCTGTCTAGCGTTATATGAAGAAACCCCATTCCCAATGAAGGCCTCAAAGAGTTCCCAATATCCACTTGCAGACTTTACAAACATAGCGTTTCCCAACTGCTCTATGAAAAGGAAGGTTAAACTCTGTTAGGTGAACGCACACATCAAAACGCAGTTTCTGGGAATGATTCTGTCTACTTTTTATTCGAAGATATTTCCTTTTCTACCGTTGGCCTCAAAGCGCTTGAAATCCCCACTTGCAAATTCCCCAAAAAGTGTCTTTCAAATCTGCTCTATCTAAAAGAAGGTTCAACTCTGTGAGCTGAATACACACAACACAAGGAAGTTACTGAGAATTCTTCTGTGTAGCCTTAAATGAAGAAATACCATTTCCAAAGCAACGCCTCATGGCGGTCCAAATATCCACATGCAGACTTTTCAAACAGAGTGTTTCCCAACTGCTCTATGAAAAGAAAGGATAAACTCTGTGAGTTAAACATACACATCACTACACAGTTTCTGGGAATGAGTTTGTCTAGTTTTTATGTGAAGATTTTTCCTTTTCCACCATTGGCCCCGAAGCGCTTGAAATCTCCAATTGGAAATTCCACAAAAAGTGTGTTTCAAATCTGCTCTATCTAAAAGAAGGTTCAACTCTGTGAGTTGAATACACACAATACAAAGAAGTTACGAAGAATTCCTCTGTCTAGCATTATATGAAGAAATCCCTTTTCCAAAGAAGGCCTCATAGAGGTCCGAATATCCACTTGCAGTCTTTACAAACAGAGTGTTTCCTAAGTGCTCTATGAAAAGAAAGGTAGAACTCTTTGAATTGAACGCATACATCACAAAGCAGTTTCTGAGAATCATTCTGTCAAGTTTTTATACGAAGAAATGTCCTTTTCTACCATTGACCTCAAAGCGTCTGAAATCTCCACTTGCAAATTCCACAAAAAGAGTGTGTCAAATCTGCTCTACCTAAAAGAAGGGTCAACTCTGTCAGTTGAATACACACAACACAAAGAAGTTACTGAGAAATCTTCTGTCTAGCCTTACATGAATAAAACCCGTTTCCAACGAAGGCCTCAAAGATGTCCAAATATCCACGTGCAGACTTTACAAACAGAGTGTTTCCAAACTGCTGTATGAAAAGTTAGGTTAAACTCCGTGAGTTGAACGCACACATGATTAAGCAGTTTCTGAGAATGATTCTGACTTGTTTTTATACGAAGATATATCCTCTTCTGCCTTTGGCCTCAAAGCGCTTGAAATTTCCTATTGCAACTTCCACAAAAAAGAGTGTTTCAAGTCTGCTCTGTCTAAAGGAACGTTCAACTCTGTGATTTGAATACACACAACACAGAGAAGTTACTGAGAATTCCTCTGTCTAGCATTATATGAAGAAATCCCTTTTCCAACGAAGGCCTCAAAGAGATCGGAATATCCACTTTCAGACTTTTCAAACAGAGTGTTTCCTAACTGCTCTATGAAAAGAAAGGTAAAACTCTTTGAACTGAACACACACATGACGAAGCAGGTTCTGAGAATCATTCTGTCTAATTTTTATACGAAGATATTTCCTTTTCTACCATTGGCCTCAAGCGTATGAAATCTCCGCTTGAAAATTCCACAAAAAGACAGTTTCAAATGTGCTCTGTTTAAAGGAAGGCTCAACTCTGTCAGTTGAATACACACAACACAAAGAAGTTACTGAGAATTCTTCTGTCTAGCCTTACATGAATAAAACCCGTTTCCAACGAAGACCTAAAAGAGGTCAAAATATCCACTTGCAGACATTACAAACAGAGTGTTTCCAAGTTGCTGTACGAAAAGATAAGTGAAACTCTGTGAGTTGAACGCACACATCACAAAGCAGTTTCTGAGAATGATCTATCTAGTTTTTATACGAAGATATTTCCTTTTCTGCCTTTGGCCTCAAAGCGCTTGAAATCTCCACTTGCAAATTCCACAAAAAGAGTGTTTCAAATCTGCTCTGTCTAAAGGAAGGTTCAACTCTGTGAGTTGAACACACACAACACAAACAAGTTACTGAGAATTCTTCTGTCTAGCATTATATGGAGAAACCCCGTTTCAAAATAAGGCGCCAAAGAGGTCCGAATATCCACTTGCAGACTTTACAAACACACTGTTTCCAAACTGCTCTATGAAAAGAAAGTTTAAACTCCGAGAGTTGAACGCACACATCAGAAAGTAGTTTCTGAGAATGATTCTGTGTACTTTTTATACGAAGATATTTCATTTTCTACCACTGGTCACAAAGCGCTTGAAATCTCCACGTGCAACTTCCACAAAAAGAGTGTTTCAAATCTGCTCTATCTAAAGGAACGTTCTATTCTGTGTGTTGATTACACACAACACAAGGAAGTTACTGAGAATTCTTCTTTCTAGCATTATATGAAGAAATCCCGTTTCCAACGAAGGCCTCAAATAGGTCCGAATATCGACTTACAGATTTGACAAACTGTGTGTTTCCAAACGGCTCTAGGAAAACAAAGGTTAAACTCTGTGAGTTGAATGCACACATCACAAAGCAGTTTCTGAAAATGATTCTGTCTTGTTTTTATGCGAAGATATTTCCTTTTCTACCATTGATGTTAAAGCGGCTGAAATCTCCACTTGCAAATTCCACAAAAAGAGTGTTTCAAATCTGCTCTCTCTAAAGGAAGGTTCATCTGTTGTCAGTTGAATACACACAACAGGAAGAAGTTACTGGGAAATCTTCTGTCTAGCATTATATGAAGAAACCCCATTCCCAATGAAGGCCTCAAAGAGTTCCCAATATCCACTTGCAGACTTTACAAACATAGCGTTTCCCAACTGCTCTATGAAAAGGAAGGTTAAACTCTGTTAGGTGAACGCACACATCAAAACGCAGTTTCTGGGAATGATTCTGTCTACTTTTTATTCGAAGATATTTCCTTTTCTACCGTTGGCCTCAAAGCGCTTGAAATCCCCACTTGCAAATTCCCCAAAAAGTGTCTTTCAAATCTGCTCTATCTAAAAGAAGGTTCAACTCTGTGAGCTGAATACACACAACACAAGGAAGTTACTGAGAATTCTTCTGTGTAGCCTTAAATGAAGAAATACCATTTCCAAAGAACGCCTCATGGCGGTCCAAATATCCACATGCAGACTTTTCAAACAGAGTGTTTCCCTACTGCTCTATGAAAAGAAAGGATAAACTCTGTGAGTTAAACATACACATCACTACACAGTTTCTGGGAATGATTTTTGTCTAGTTTTTATGTGAAGATTTTTCCTTTTCTACCATTGGCCCCGAAGCGCTTGAAATCTCCAATTGGAAATTCCACAGAAAGTGTGTGTCAAATCTGCTCTATCTAAAAGAAGGTTCAACTCTGTGAGTTGAATACACACAATACAAAGAAGTTACGAAGAATTCCTCTGTCTAGCATTATATGAAGAAATCCCTTTTCCAAAGAAGGCCACATAGAGGTCCGAATATCCACTTGCAGTCTTTACAAACAGAGTGTTTCCTAAGTGCTCTATGAAAAGAAAGGTAGAACTCTTTGAATTGAACGCATACATCACAAAGCAGTTTCTGAGAATCATTCTGTCAAGTTTTTATACGAAGAAATGTCCTTTTCTACCATTGACCTCAAAGCGTCTGAAATCTCCACTTGCAAATTCCACAAAAAGAGTGTCTCAAATCTGCTCTACCTAAAAGAAGGGTCAACTCTGTCAGTTGAATACACACAACACAAAGAAGTTACTGAGAAATCTTCTGTCTAGCCTTACATGAATAAAACCCGTTTCCAACGAAGGCCTCAAAGATGTCCAAATATCCACGTGCAGACTTTACAAACAGAGTGTTTCCAAACTGCTGTATGAAAAGGTAGGTTAAACTCCGTGAGTCGAACGCACACATGATTAAGCAGTTTCTGAGAATGATTCTGACTTGCTTTTATACGAAGATATTTCCTCTTCTGCCTTTGGCCTCAAAGTGCTTGAAATTTCCTATTGCAAATTCCACAAAAAGAGTGTTTCAAGTCTGCTCTGTCTAAAGGAACGTTCAACTCTGTGATTTGAATACACACAACACAGAGAAGTTACTGAGAATTCCTCTGTCTAGCATTATATGAAGAAATCCCTTTTCCAACAAAGGCCTCAAAGAGATCGGAATATCCACTTTCAGACTGTTCAAACAGAGTGTTTCCTAACTGCTCTATGAAAAGAAAGGTAAAACTCTTTGAACTGAACACACACATCACGAAGCAGGTTCTGAGAATCATTCTGTCTAGTTTTTATACGAAGATATTTCCTTTTCTACCATTGACCTCAATGCGTCTGAAATCTCCACTTGCAAATTCCACAAAAAGAGTGGTTCAAATGTGCTCTGTCTAAAGGAAGGGTCAACTCTGTCAGTGGAATACACACAATACAAAGAAGTTACTGAGAATTCTTCTGTCTAGCCTTACATGAATAAAACCCGTTTCCAACGAAGACCTAAAAGAGGTCAAAATATCCACTTGCAGACATTACAAACAGAGTGTTTCCAAGCTGCTGTACGAAAAGATAAGTGAAACTCTGTGAGTTGAACGCACACATCACAAAGCAGTTTCTGAGAATGATCTATCTAGTTTTTATACGAAGATATTTCCTTTTCTGCCTTTGGCCTCAAAGCGCTTGAAATCTCCACTTGCAAATTCCACAAAAAGAGTGTTTCAAATCTGCTCTGTCTAAAGGAAGGTTCAACTCTGTGAGTTGAACACACACAACACAAACAAGTTACTGAGAATTCTTCTGTCTAGCATTACATGGAGAAACCCCGTTTCAAAATAAGGCGCCAAAGAGGTCCGAATATCCACTTGCAGACTTTACAAACACACTGTTTCCAAACTGCTCTATGAAAAGGAAGTTTAAACTCCGAGAGTTGAACGCACACATCAGAAAGTAGTTTCTGAGAATGATTCTGTGTACTTTTTATACGAAGATATTTCATTTTCTACCACTGGCCACAAAGCGCTTGAAATCTCCCCGTGCAACTTCCACAAAAAGAGTGTTTCAAATCTGCTCTATCTAAAGGAACGTTCTATTCTGTGAGTTGATTACACACAACACAAGGAAGTTACTGAGAATTCTTCTTTCTAGCATTATATGAAGAAATCCCGTTTCCAACGAAGGCCTCAAATAGGTCCGAATATCGACTTACAGGTTAGACAAACTGTGTGTTTCCAAATGGCTCTATGAAAACAAAGGTTAAACTTTGTGAGTTGAATGCACACATCACAAAGCAGTTTCTGAAAATGATTCTGTCTTGTTTTTATGCGAAGATATTTCCTTTTCTACCATTGACGTTAAAGCGGCTGAAATCTCCACTTGCAAATTCCACAAAAAGAGTGTTTCAAATCTGCTCTCTCTAAAGGAAGGTTCATCTGTTGTCAGTTGAATACACACAACAGGAAGAAGTTACTGGGAAATCTTCTGTCTAGCATTATATGAAGAAACCCCATTCCCAATGAAGGCCTCAAAGAGTTCCCAATATCCACTTGCAGACTTTACAAACATAGCGTTTCCCAACTGCTCTATGAAAAGGAAGGTTAAACTCTGTTAGGTGAACGCACACATCAAAACGCAGTTTCTGGGAATGATTCTGTCTACTTTTTATTCGAAGATATTTCCTTTTCTACCGTTGGCCTCAAAGCGCTTGAAATCCCCACTTGCAAATTCCCCAAAAAGTGTCTTTCAAATCTGCTCTATCTAAAAGAAGGTTCAACTCTGTGAGCTGAATACACACAACACAAGGAAGTTACTGAGACTTCTTCTGTGTAGCCTTAAATGAAGAAATACCATTTCCAAAGAACGCCTCATGGCGGACCAAATATCCACATGCAGACTTTTCAAACAGAGTGTTTCCCAACTGCTCTATGAAAAGAAAGGATAAACTCTGTGAGTTAAACATACACATCACTACACAGTTTCTGGGAATGATTTTGTCTAGTTTTTTTGTGAAGATTTTTCCTTTTCTACCATTGGCCCCGAAGCGCTTGAAATCTCCAATTGGAAATTCCACAGAAAGTGTGTTTCAAATCTGCTCTATCTAAAAGAAGGTTCAACTCTGTGAGTTGAATACACACAATACAAAGAAGTTACGAAGAATTCCTCTGTCTAGCATTATATGAAGAAATCCCTTTTCCAAAGAAGGCCTCATAGAGGTCCGAATATCCACTTGCAGTCTTTACAAACAGAGTGTTTCCTAAGTGCTCTATGAAAAGAAAGGTAGAACTCTTTGAATTGAACGCATACATCACAAAGCAGTTTTGAGAATCATTCTGTCAAGTTTTTATACGAAGAAATGTCCTTTTCTACCATTGACCTCAAAGCGTCTGAAATCTCCACTTGCAAATTCCACAAAAAGAGTGTGTCAAATCTGCTCTACCTAAAAGAAGGGTCAACTCTGTCAGTTGAATACACACAACACAAAGAAGTTACTGAGAAATCTTCTGTCTAGCCTTACATGAATAAAACCCGTTTCCAACGAAGGCCTCAAAGATGTCCAAATATCCACGTGCAGACTTTACAAACAGAGTGTTTCCAAACTGCTGTATGAAAAGGTAGGTTAAACTCCGTGAGTCGAACGCACACATGATTAAGCAGTTTCTGAGAATGATTCTGACTTGTTTTTATACGAAGATATTTCCTCTTCTGCCTTTGGCCTCAAAGCGCTTGAAATTTCCTATTGCAAATTCCACAAAAAAGAGTGTTTCAAGTCTGCTCTGTCTAAAGGAACGTTCAACTCTGTGATTTGAATACACACAACACAGAGAAGTTACTGAGAATTCCTCTGTCTAGCATTATATGAAGAAATCCCTTTTCCAACGAAGGCCTCAAAGAGATCGGAATATCCACTTTCAGACTGTTCAAACAGAGTGTTTCCTAACTGCTCTATGAAAAGAAAGGTAAAACTCTTTGAACTGAACACACACATCACGAAGCAGGTTCTGAGAATCATTCTGTCTAGTTTTTATACGAAGATATTTCCTTTTCTACCATTGACCTCAATGCGTCTGAAATCTCCACTTGCAAATTCCACAAAAAGAGTGGTTCAAATGTGCTCTGTCTAAAGGAAGGGTCAACTCTGTCAGTGGAATACACACAATACAAAGAAGTTACTGAGAATTCTTCTGTCTAGCCTTACATGAATAAAACCCGTTTCCAACGAAGACCTAAAAGAGGTCAAAATATCCACTTGCAGACATTACAAACAGAGTGTTTCCAAGCTGCTGTACGAAAAGATAAGTGAAACTCTGTGAGTTGAACGCACACATCACAAAGCAGTTTCTGAGAATGATCTGTCTAGTTTTTATACGAAGATTATTCTTTTCTACCATTGGCCTCAAAGCGCTTGAAATCTCCACTTGCAAATTCCACAAAAAGAGTGTTTCAAATCTGCTCTGTCTAAAGGAAGGTTCAACTCTGTGAGTTGAATACACACAACACAAAGAAGTTACTGAGAATTCTTCTGTCTAGCCTTATATGGAGAAACCCCGTTTCAAAATAAGGCGCCAGAGAGGTCCGAATATCCACTTGCAGACTTTACAAACAGACTGTTTCCAAACTGCTCTATGAAAAGAAAGTTTAAACTCTTTGAGTTGAATGCACACATCAGAAAGTAGTTTCTGAGAATGATTCTGTGTACTTTTTATACGAAGATATTTCATTTTCTACCATTGGCCACAAAGCGCTTGAAATCTCCACGTGCAAATTCCACAAAAAGAGTGTTTCAAATCTGCTCTATCTAAAGGAACGTTCTATTCTGTGAGTTGATTACACACAACCCAAGGAAGTTACTGAGAATTCTTCTTTCTAGCATTATATGAAGAAATCCCGTTTCCAACGAAGGCCTCAAATAGGTCCGAATATCGAATTACAGATTTGACAAACTGTGTGTTTCCAAACGGCTCTATGAAAACAAAGGTTAAACTCTGTGAGTTGAATGCACACATCACAAAGCAGTTTCTGAAAATGATTCTGTCTAGTTTTTATGCGAAGATATTTCCTTTTCTACCATTGACGTTAAAGCGGCTGAAATCTCCACTTGCAAATTCCACACAAAGAGTGTTTCAAATCTGCTCTCTCTAAAGGAAGGTTCATCTGTTGTCAGTTGAATACACACAACAGGAAGAAGTTACTGGGAAATCTTCTGTCTAGCATTATATGAAGAAACCCCATTCCCAATGAAGGCCTCAAAGAGTTCCCAATATCCACTTGCAGACTTTACAAACATAGCGTTTCCCAACTGCTCTATGAAAAGGAAGTTTAAACTCTGTTAGGTGAACGCACACATCAAAACGCAGTTTCTGGGAATGATTCTGTCTACTTTTTATTCGAAGATATTTCCTTTTCTACCGTTGGCCTCAAAGCGCTTGAAATCTCCACTTGCAAATTCTCCAAAAAGTGTCTTTCAAATCTGCTCTATCTAAAAGAAGGTTCAACTCTGTGAGCTGAATACACACAACACAAGGAAGTTACTGAGAATTCTTCTGTGTAGCCTTAAATGAAGAAATACCATTTCCAAAGAACGCCTCATGGCGGTCCAAATATCCACATGCAGACTTTTCAAACAGAGTGTTTCCCAACTGCTCTATGAAAAGAAAGGATAAACTCTGTGAGTTAAACATACACATCACTCCACAGTTTCTGGGAATGAGTTTGTCTAGTTTTTATGTGAAGATTTTACCTTTTCTACCATTGGCCACAAAGCGCTTGAAATCTCAATTGGAGATTCCACAAAAAGTGTGTTTCAAATCTACTCTCTCTAAAAGAAGGTTCAACTCTGTGAGTTGAATACACACAATACAAAGAAGTTACTAAGAATTCCTCTGTCTAGCATTATATGAAGAAATCCCTTTTCCAAAGAAGGCCTCATAGAGGTCCGAATATCCACTTGCAGTCTTTACAAACCGATTGTTTCCTAAGTGCTCTATGAAAACAAAGGTAAAACTCTTTGAATTGAACGCATACATCACAAAGCAGTTTCTGAGATATCATTCTGTCAAGTTTTTATACGAAGAAATGTCCTTTTCTACCATTGACCTCAAAGCGTCTGAAATCTCCACTTGCAAATTCCACAAAAAGAGTGTTTCAAATCTGCTCTACCTAAAAGAAGGGTCAACTCTGTCAGTTGAATACACACAACACAAAGAAGTTACTGAGAAATCTTCTGTCTAGCCTTACATGAGTAAAACCCGTTTCCAACGAAGGCCTCAAAGATATCCAAATATCCACGTGCAGACTTTACAAACAGAGTGTTTCCAAACTGCTGTATGAAAAGGTAGGTTAAACTCCATGAGTTGAACGCACACATGATACAGCAGTTTCTGAGAATGATTCTGACTTTTTTTTATACGAAGATATTTCCTCTTCTGCCTTTGGCCTCAAAGCGCTTGAAATTTCCTATTGCAAATTCCACAAAAAGAGTGTTTCAAGTCTGCTCTGTCTAAAGGAACGTTCAACTCTGTGATTTGAATACACACAACACAGAGAAGTTACTGAGAATTCCTCTGTCTAGCATTATATGAAGAAATCCCTTTTCCAATGAAGGCCTCAAAGAGATCGGAATATCCACTTTCAGACTGTTCAAACAGAGTGTTTTCTAACTGCTCTATGAAAAGAAAGGTAAAACTCTTTGAACTGAACACACACATCACGAAGCAGGTTCTGAGAATCATTCTGTCTAGTATTTATAAGAAGATATTTCCTTTTCTACCATTGACCTCAATGCGTCTGAAATCTCCACTTGCAAATTCCACAAAAAGAGTGGTTCAAATGTGCTCTGTCTAAAGGAAGGGTCAACTCTGTCAGTGGAATACACACAATACAAAGAAGTTACTGAGAATTCTTCTGTCTAGCCTTACATGAATAAAACCCGTTTCCAACGAAGACCTAAAAGAGGTCAAAATATCCACTTGCAGACATTACAAACAGAGTGTTTCCAAGCTGCTGTACGAAAAGATAAGTGAAACTCTGTGAGTTGAACGCACACATCACAAAGCAGTTTCTGAGAATGATCTATCTAGTTTTTATACGAAGATATTTCCTTTTCTGCCTTTGGCCTCAAAGCGCTTGAAATCTCCACTTGCAAATTCCACAAAAAGAGTGTTTCAAATCTGCTCTGTCTAAAGGAAGGTTCAACTCTGTGAGTTGAACACACACAACACAAACAAGTTACTGAGAAGTCTTCTGTCTAGCATTATAGGGAGAAACCCCGTTTCAAATTAAGGCGCCAAAGAGGTCCGAATATCCACTTGCAGACTTTACAAACACACTGTTTACAAACTGCTCTATGAAAAGAAAGTTTAAACTCCGAGAGTTGAACGCACACATCAGAAAGTAGTTTCTGAGAATGATTCTGTGTACTTTTTATACGAAGATATTTCATTTTCTACCACTGGCCACAAAGCGCTTGAAATCTCGACGTGCAACTTCCACAAAAAGAGTGTTTCAAATCTGCTCTATCTAAAGGAACGTTCTATTCTGTGAGTTGATTACACACAACACAAGGAAGTTACTGAGAATTCTTCTTTCTAGCATTATATGAAGAAATCCCGTTTCCAACGAAGGCCTCAAATAGGTCCGAATATCGACTTACAGATTTGACAAACTGTGTGTTTCCAAACGGCTCTAGGAAAACAAAGGTTAAACTCTGTGAGTTGAATGCACACATCACAAAGCAGTTTCTGAAAATGATTCTGTCTTGTTTTTATGCGAAGATATTTCCTTTTCTACCATTGACGTTAAAGCGGATGAAATCTCCACTTGCAAATTCCACAAAAAGAGTGTTTCAAATCTGCTCTCTCTAAAGGAAGGTTCATCTGTTGTCAGTTGAATACACACAACAGGAAGAAGTTACTGGGAAATCTTCTGTCTAGCATTATATGAAGAAACTCCATTCCCAATGAAGGCCTCAAAGAGTTCCCAATATCCACTTGCAGACTTTACAAACATAGCGTTTCCCAACTGCTCTATGAAAAGGAAGGTTAAACTCTGTTAGGTGAACGCACACATCAAAACGCAGTTTCTGGGAATGATTCTGTCTACTTTTTATTCGAAGATATTTCCTTTTCTACCGTTGGCCTCAAAGCGCTTGAAATCCCCACTTGCAAATTCCCCAAAAAGTGTCTTTCAAATCTGCTCTATCTAAAAGAAGGTTCAACTCTGTGAGCTGAATACACACAACACAAGGAAGTTACTGAGAATTCTTCTGTGTAGCCTTAAATGAAGAAATACCATTTCCAAAGAACGCCTCATGGCGGTCCAAATATCCACATGCAGACTTTTCAAACAGAGTGTTTCCCAACTGCTCTATGAAAAGAAAGGATAAACTCTGTGAGTTAAACATACACATCACTACACAGTTTCTGGGAATGAGTTTGTCTAGTTTTTATGTGAAGATTTTACCTTTTCTACCATTGGCCCCGAAGCACTTGAAATCTCCAATTGGAAATTCCACAGAAAGTGTGTTTCAAATCTGCTCTATCTAAAAGAAGGTTCAACTCTGTGAGTTGAATACACACAATACAAAGAAGTTACGAAGAATTCCTCTGTCTAGCATTATATGAAGAAATCCCTTTTCCAAAGAAGGCCTCATAGAGGTCCGAATATCCACTTGCAGTCTTTACAAACAGAGTGTTTCCTAAGTGCTCTATGAAAAGAAAGGTAGAACTCTTTGAATTGAACGCATACATCACAAAGCAGTTTCTGAGAATCATTCTGTCAAGTTTTTATACGAAGAAATGTCCTTTT
This sequence comes from Homo sapiens, assembly GCF_000001405.40. Classification (NCBI taxonomy): domain Eukaryota; kingdom Metazoa; phylum Chordata; class Mammalia; order Primates; family Hominidae; genus Homo; species Homo sapiens. The sequence goes on along the minus strand of NC_000005.10, from coordinate 47,162,586 downwards.
CTACCATTGACCTCAAAGCGTCTGAAATCTCCACTTGCAAATTCCACAAAAAGAGTGTCTCAAATCTGCTCTACCTAAAAGAAGGGTCAACTCTGTCAGTTGAATACACACAACACAAAGAAGTTACTGAGAAATCTTCTGTCTAGCCTTACATGAATAAAACCCGTTTCCAACGAAGGCCTCAAAGATGTCCAAATATCCACGTGCAGACTTTACAAACAGAGTGTTTCCAAACTGCTGTATGAAAAGGTAGGGTAAACTCCGTGAGTTGAACGCACACATGATTAAGCAGTTTCTGAGAATGATTCTGACTTGTTTTTATACGAAGATATTTCCTCTTCTGCCTTTGGCCTCAAAGCGCTTGAAATTTCCTATTGCAAATTCCACAAAAAGAGTGTTTCAAGTCTGCTCTGTCTAAAGGAACGTTCAACTCTGTGATTTGAATACACACAACACAGAGAAGTTACTGAGAATTCCTCTGTCTAGCATTATATGAAGAAATCCCTTTTCCAACAAAGGCCTCAAAGAGATCGGAATATCCACTTTCAGACTGTTCAAACAGAGTGTTTCCTAACTGCTCTATGAAAAGAAAGGTAAAACTCTTTGAACTGAACACACACATGACGAAGCAGGTTCTGAGAATCATTCTGTCTAGTTTTTATACGAAGATATTTCCTTTTCTACCATTGACCTCAATGCGTCTGAAATCTCCACTTGCAAATTCCACAAAAAGAGTGGTTCAAATGTGCTCTGTCTAAAGGAAGGGTCAACTCTGTCAGTGGAATACACACAATACAAAGAAGTTACTGAGAATTCTTCTGTCTAGCCTTACATGAATAAAACCCGTTTCCAACGAAGACCTCAAAGAGGTCAAAATATCCACTTGCAGACATTACAAACAGAGTGTCTCCAAACTGCTGTACGAAAAGATAAGTGAAACTCTGTGAGTTGAACGCACACATCACAAAGCAGTTTCTGAGAATGATTCTATCTAGTTTTTATACGAAGATATTTCCTTTTCTGCCTTTGGCCTCAAAGCGCTTGAAATCTCCACTTGCAAATTCCACAAAAAGAGTGTTTCAAATCTGCTCTGTCTAAAAGAAGATTCAACTCTGTGAGTTGAACACACACAACACAAACAAGTTATTGAGAATTCTTCTGTCTAGCATTATATGGAGAAACCCCGTTTCAAAATAAGGCGCCAAAGAGGTCTGAATATCCACTTGCAGACTTTACAAACACACTGTTTCCAAACTGCTCTATGAAAAGAAAGTTTAAACTCCGAGAGTTGAACGCACACATCAGAAAGTAGTTTCTGAGAATGATTCTGTGTACTTTTTATACGAAGATATTTCATTTTCTACCACTGGTCACAAAGCGCTTGAAATCTCCACGTGCAACTTCCACAAAAAGAGTGTTTCAAATCTGCTCTATCTAAAGGAACGTTCTATTCTGTGAGTTGATTACACACAACACAAGGAAGTTACTGAGAATTCTTCTTTCTAGCATTATATGAAGAAATCCCGTTTCCAACGAAGGCCTCAAATAGGTCCGAATATCGACTTACAGATTTGACAAACTGTGTGTTTCCAAACGGCTCTATGAAAACAAAGGTTAAACTCTGTGAGTTGAATGCACACATCACAAAGCAGTTTCTGAAAATGATTCTGTCTTGTTTTTATGCGAAGATATTTCCTTTTCTACCATTGACGTTAAAGCGGCTGAAATCTCCACTTGCAACTTCCACAAAAAGAGTGTTTCAAATCTGCTCTCTCTAAAGGAAGGTTCATCTGTTGTCAGTTGAATACACACAACAGGAAGAAGTTACTGGGAAATCTTCTGTCTAGCATTATATGAAGAAACCCCATTCCCAATGAAGGCCTCAAAGAGTTCCCAATATCCACTTGCAGACTTTACAAACATAGCGTTTCCCAACTGCTCTATGAAAAGGAAGGTTAAACTCTGTTAGGTGAACGCACACATCAAAACGCAGTTTCTGGGAATGATTCTGTCTACTTTTTATTCGAAGATATTTCCTTTTCTACCGTTGGCCTCAAAGCGCTTGAAATCCCCACTTGCAAATTCCCCAAAAAGTGTCTTTCAAATCTGCTCTATCTAAAAGAAGGTTCAACTCTGTGAGCTGAATACACACAACACAAGGAAGTTACTGAGACTTCTTCTGTGTAGCCTTAAATGAAGAAATACCATTTCCAAAGAACGCCTCATGGCGGTCCAAATATCCACATGCAGACTTTTCAAACAGAGTGTTTCCCAACTGCTCTATGAAAAGAAAGGATAAACTCTGTGAGTTAAACATACACATCACTACACAGTTTCTGGGAATGATTTTGTCTAGTTTTTTTGTGAAGATTTTTCCTTTTCTACCATTGGCCCCGAAGCGCTTGAAATCTCCAATTGGAAATTCCACAGAAAGTGTGTTTCAAATCTGCTCTATCTAAAAGAAGGTTCAACTCTGTGAGTTGAATACACACAATACAAAGAAGTTACGAAGAATTCCTCTGTCTAGCATTATATGAAGAAATCCCTTTTCCAAAGAAGGCCTCATAGAGGTCCGAATATCCACTTGCAGTCTTTACAAACAGAGTGTTTCCTAAGTGCTCTATGAAAAGAAAGGTAGAACTCTTTGAATTGAACGCATACATCACAAAGCAGTTTCTGAGAATCATTCTGTCAAGTTTTTATACGAAGAAATGTCCTTTTCTACCATTGACCTCAAAGCGTCTGAAATCTCCACTTGCAAATTCCACAAAAAGAGTGTCTCAAATCTGCTCTACCTAAAAGAAGGGTCAACTCTGTCAGTTGAATACACACAACACAAAGAAGTTACTGAGAAATCTTCTGTCTAGCCTTACATGAATAAAACCCGTTTCCAACGAAGGTCTCAAAGAAGTCCAAATATCCACTTGCAGACTTTACAAACAGAGTGTTTCCAAACTGCTGTATGAAAAGGTAGGTTAAACTCCGTGAGTTGAACGCACACATGATAAATCAGTTTCTGAGAATGATTCTGACTTGTTTTTATACGAAGATATTTCCTCTTCTGCCTTTGGCCTCAAAGCGCTTGAAATTTCCTATTGCAAATTCCACAAAAAGAGTGTTTCAAGTCTGCTCTGTCTAAAGGAACGTTCAACTCTGTGATTTGAATACACACAACACAGAGAAGTTACTGAGAATTCCTCTGTCTAGCATTATATGAAGAAATCCCTTTTCCAACGAAGGCCTCAAAGAGATCGGAATATCCACTTTCAGACTTTTCAAACAGAGTGTTTCCTAACTGCTCTATGAAAAGAAAGGTAAAACTCTTTGAACTGAACACACACATGACGAAGCAGGTTCTGAGAATCATTCTGTCTAGTTTTTATACGAAGATATTTCCTTTTCTACCATTGACCTCAATGCGTCTGAAATCTCCACTTGCAAATTCCACAAAAAGAGTGGTTCAAATGTGCTCTGTCTAAAGGAAGGGTCAACTCTGTCAGTGGAATACACACAATACAAAGAAGTTACTGAGAATTCTTCTGTCTAGCCTTACATGAATAAAACCCGTTTCCAACGAAGACCTCAAAGAGGTCAAAATATCCACTTGCAGACATTACAAACAGAGTGTCTCCAAACTGCTGTACGAAAAGATAAGTGAAACTCTGTGAGTTGAACGCACACATCACAAAGCAGTTTCTGAGAATGATTCTCTCTAGTTTTTAAACGAAGATATTTCTTTTTCTACCATTGACATTAAAGCGCTTGAAATCTCCAGTTGCAAATTACACAAAAAGTGTGTATGAAATCTGCTGTGTCTAAACGAACTTTCACCTCTGTGAGTTGAATACACATAACACAAAGAAGTTACTGTGAATTCTTCTGTGTAGCATTATATGAAGAAATCCCGTTTCCAACGAAGGCATCAAAGAGGTCCAACTATCCTCTTGCAGACTTTATAAACAGAGTGTTTCCAAACTGCTGTATGAATTGAAAGGTTAAACTCACTGAGTTGAACGCACACATCACAAAGTATCTTCTGAGAATGATTCTGTGTACTTTTTATACGAAGATATTTCATTTTCTACCACTGGCCACAAAGCGCTTGAAATCTCCACGTGCAACTTCCACAAAAAGAGTGTTTCAAATCTGCTCTATCTAAAGGAACGTTCTATTCTGTGAGTTGATTACACACAACACAAGGAAGTTACTGAGAATTCTTCTTTCTAGCATTATATGAAGAAATCCCGTTTCCAACGAAGGCCTCAAATAGGTCCGAATATCGACTTACAGATTTGACAAACTGTGTGTTTCCAAACGGCTCTAGGAAAACAAAGGTTAAACTCTGTGATTTGAATGCACACATCACAAAGCAGTTTCTGAAAATGATTCTGTCTTGTTTTTATGCGAAGATATTTCCTTTTCCACCATTGACGTTAAAGCGGCTGAAATCTCCACTTGCAAATTCCACAAAAAGAGTGTTTCAAATCTGCTCTCTCTAAAGGAAGGTTCATCTGTTGTCAGTTGAATACACACAACAGGAAGAAGTTACTGGGAAATCTTCTGTCTAGCATTATATGAAGAAACCCCATTCCCAATGAAGGCCTCAAAGAGTTCCCAATATCCACTTGCAGACTTTACAAACATAGCGTTTCCCAACTGCTCTATGAAAAGGAAGGTTAAACTCTGTTAGGTGAACGCACACATCAAAACGCAGTTTCTGGGAATGATTCTGTCTACTTTTTATTCGAAGATATTTCCTTTTCTACCGTTGGCCTCAAAGCGCTTGAAATCCCCACTTGCAAATTCCCCAAAAAGTGTCTTTCAAATCTGCTCTATCTAAAAGAAGGTTCAACTCTGTGAGCTGAATACACACAACACAAGGAAGTTACTGAGAATTCTTCTGTGTAGCCTTAAATGAAGAAATACCATTTCCAAAGAACGCCTCATGGCGGTCCAAATATCCACATGCAGACTTTTCAAACAGAGTGTTTCCCAACTGCTCTATGAAAAGAAAGGATAAACTCTGTGAGTTAAACATACACATCACTACACAGTTTCTGGGAATGATTTTGTCTAGTTTTTTTGTGAAGATTTTTCCTTTTCTACCATTGGCCCCGAAGCGCTTGAAATCTCCAATTGGAAATTCCACAGAAAGTGTGTTTCAAATCTGCTCTATCTAAAAGAAGGTTCAACTCTGTGAGTTGAATACACACAATACAAAGAAGTTACGAAGAATTCCTCTGTCTAGCATTATATGAAGAAATCCCTTTTCCAAAGAAGGCCTCATAGAGGTCCGAATATCCACTTGCAGTCTTTACAAACAGAGTGTTTCCTAAGTGCTCTATGAAAAGAAAGGTAGAACTCTTTGAATTGAACGCATATATCACAAAGCAGTTTCTGAGAATCATTCTGTCAAGTTTTTATACGAAGAAATGTCCTTTTCTACCATTGACCTCAAAGCGTCTGAAATCTCCACTTGCAAATTCCACAAAAAGAGTGTCTCAAATCTGCTCTACCTAAAAGAAGGGTCAACTCTGTCAGTTGAATACACACAACACAAAGAAGTTACTGAGAAATCTTCTGTCTAGCCTTACATGAATAAAACCCGTTTCCAACGAAGGCCTCAAAGATGTCCAAATATCCACGTGCAGACTTTACAAACAGAGTGTTTCCAAACTGCTGTATGAAAAGGTAGGTTAAACTCCGTGAGTCGAACGCACACATGATTAAGCCGTTTCTGAGAATGATTCTGACTTTTTTTTATACGAAGATATTTCCTCTTCTGTCTTTGGCCTCAAAGCGCTTGAAATTTCCTATGGCAAATTCCGCAAAAAGAGTGTTTCAAGTCTGCTCTGTCTAAAGGAACGTTCAACTCTGTGATTTGAATACACACAACACAGAGAAGTTACTGAGAATTCCTCTGTCTAGCATTATATGAAGAAATCCCTTTTCCAACGAAGGCCTCAAAGAGATCGGAATATCCACTTTAAGACTGTTCAAACAGAGTATTCCCTAACTGCTCTATGAAAAGAAAGGTAAAACTCTTTGAACTGAACACACACATCACGAAGCAGGTTCTGAGAATCATTCTGTCTAGTTTTTATACGAAGATATTTCCTTTTCTACCATTGACCTCAATGCGTCTGAAATCTCCACTTGCAAATTCCACAAAAAGAGTGGTTCAAATGTGCTCTGTCTAAAGGAAGGGTCAACTCTGTCAGTGGAATACACACAATACAAAGAAGTTACTGAGAATTCTTCTGTCTAGCCTTACATGAATAAAACCCGTTTCCAACGAAGACCTCAAAGAGGTCAAAATATCCACTTGCAGACATTACAAACAGAGTGTCTCCAAACTGCTGTACGAAAAGATAAGTGAAACTCTGTGAGTTGAACGCACACATCACAAAGCAGTTTCTGAGAATGATCTATCTAGTTTTTATACGAAGATATTTCCTTTTCTGCCTTTGGCCTCAAAGCGCTTGAAATCTCCACTTGCAAATTCCACAAAAAGAGTGTTTCAAATCTGCTCTGTCTAAAGGAAGGTTCAACTCTGTGAGTTGAACACACACAACACAAACAAGTTACTGAGAATTCTTCTGTCTAGCATTATAGGGAGAAACCCCGTTTCAAATTAAGGTGCCAAAGAGGTCCGAATATCCACTTGCAGACTTTACAAACACACTGTTTCCAAACTGCTCTATGAAAAGAAAGTTTAACCTCCGAGAGTTGAACGCACACATCAGAAAGTAGTTTCTGAGAATGATTCTGTGTACTTTTTATACGAAGATATTTCATTTTCTACCACTGGCCACAAAGCGCTTGAAATCTCCACGTGCAACTTCCACAAAAAGAGTGTTTCAAATCTGCTCTATCTAAAGGAACGTTCTATTCTGTGAGTTGATTACACACAACACAAGGAAGTTACTGAGAATTCTTCTTTCTAGCATTATATGAAGAAATCCCGTTTCCAACGAAGGCCTCAAATAGTTCCGAATATCGACTTACAGATTTGACAAACTGTGTGTTTCCAAACGGCTCTATGAAAACAAAGGTTAAACTCTGTGAGTTGAATGCACACATCACAAAGCAGTTTCTGAAAATGATTCTGTCTTGTTTTTATGCGAAGATATTTCCTTTTCTACCATTGACGTTAAAGCGGCTGAAATCTCCACTTGCAAATTCCACAAAAAGAGTGTTTTAAATCTGCTCTCTCTAAAGGAAGGTTCATCTGTTGTCAGTTGAATACACACAACAGGAAGAAGTTACTAGGAAATCTTCTGTCTAGCATTATATGAAGAAACCCCATTCCCAATGAAGGCCTCAAAGAGTTCCCAATATCCACTTGCAGACTTTACAAACATAGCGTTTCCCTACTGCTCTATGAAAAGGAAGGTTAAACTCTGTTAGGTGAACGCACACATCAAAACGCAGTTTCTGGGAATGATTCTGTCTACTTTTTATTCGAAGATATTTCCTTTTCTACCGTTGGCCTCAAAGCGCTTGAAATCCCCACTTGCAAATTCCCCAAAAAGTGTCTTTCAAATCTGCTCTATCTAAAAGAAGGTTCAACTCTGTGAGCTGAATACACACAACACAAGGAAGTTACTGAGAATTCTTCTGTGTAGCCTTAAATGAAGAAACACCATTTCCAAAGAACGCCTCATGGCGGTCCAAATATCCACATGCAGACTTTTCAAACAGAGTGTTTCCCAACTGCTCTATGAAAAGAAAGGATAAACTCTGTGAGTTAAACATACACATCACTACACCGGTTCTGGGAATGAGTTTGTCTAGTTTTTATGTGAAGATTTTTCCTTTTCTACCATTGGCCCCGAAGCGCTTGAAATCTCCAATTGGAAATTCCACAAAAAGTGTGTTTCAAATCTGCTCTATCTAAAAGAAGGTTCAACTCTGTGAGTTGAATACACACAATACAAAGAAGTTACGAAGAATTCCTCTGTCTAGCATTATATGAAGAAATCCCTTTTCCAACGAAGGCCTCAAAGAGATCGGAATATCCACATTCAGACTGTTCAAACAGAGTGTTTCCTAACTGCTCTATGAAAAGAAAGGTAAAACTCTTTGAACTGAACACACACATCACGAAGCAGGTTCTGAGAATCATTCTGTCTAGTTTTTATATGAAGATATTTCCTTTTCTACCATTGACCTCAAAGCGTGTGAAATCTCCACTTGCAAATTCCACAAAAAGAGTGTCTCAAATCTGCTCTACCTAAAAGAAGGGTCAACTCTGTCAGTTGAATACACACAACACAAAGAAGTTACTGAGAAATCTTCTGTCTAGCCTTACATAAATAAAACCCGTTTCCAACGAAGGCCTCAAAGATGTCCAAATATCCACTTGCAGACTTTACAAACAGAGTGTTTCCAAACTGCTGTATGAAAAGGTAGGTTAAACTCCGTGAGTCGAACGCACACATGATAAAGCAGTTTCTGAGAATGATTCTGACTTGTTTTTCTACGAAGATATTTCCTCTTCTGCCTTTGGCCTCAAAGCGCTTGAAATTTCCTATTGCAAATTCCACAAAAAGAGTGTTTCAAGTCTGCTCTGTCTAAAGGAACGTTCAACTCTGTGATTTGAATACACACAACACAGAGAAGTTACTGAGAATTCCTCTGTCTAGCATTATATGAAGAAATCCCTTTTCCAACGAAGGCCTCAAAGAGATCGGAATATCCACTTTCAGACTGTTCAAACAGAGTGTTTCCTAACTGCTCTATGAAAAGAAAGGTAAAACTCTTTGAACTGAACACACACATCACGAAGCAGGTTCTGAGAATCATTCTGTCTAGTTTTTATACGAAGATATTTCCTTTTCTACCATTGACCTCAATGCGTCTGAAATCTCCACTTGCAAATTCCACAAAAAGAGTGGTTCAAATGTGCTCTGTCTAAAGGAAGGGTCAACTCTGTCAGTGGAATACACACAATAGAAAGAAGTTACTGAGAATTCTTCTGTCTAGCCTTACATGAATAAAACCCGTTTCCAACGAAGACCTCAAAGAGGTCAAAATATCCACATGCAGACATTACAAACAGAGTGTTTCCAAACTGCTGTACGAAAAGATAAGTGAAACTCTGTGAGTTGAACGCACACATCACAAAGCAGTTTCTGAGAATGA